>NC_000013.11:91404494-91707524 GCF_000001405.40 Homo sapiens
TGACCTTCAACTAGAAGAAAAGGCAGCACTGATTGTGCTCTCAATTCTTGAACTTTTCAGTTTTAGTAAATCTTCCATTTCACTAATGAGATTGCCCAAATTATCCTAAAATGATTATTCATTCCTCTGTGAATCACCACAAACAGCACAGCCCTTGATTAGTTGCATCAGGGCCACATATGGCTACTATGTAAGTTGAATGTGCAGTGTACCTTTATAGAAAGAAAAGAAGATGTTATACTTCCACGTTTTTATGGAAGAATGTATGTTTTCTTAAAAATTTATAAAACTGAAAAGTACAAATAAAGTAAAATAATTTTACCATCCAGAAATAACCACCGAAATGCCTTTGCATTGTCTTTTTAGCATGCTCATCAGCCCCCTGCTAAGCATGACTATTTTTTGAAAGAATATAGAATAATTTCCTTTTTGAAAAACATGGCTTTTCCAATTATGAATGTATCTTTATTTCCCATTTCCCATGCTGTTAAATATCTTTCTAAGCCTGATTTTTTAAAGTGGCTGTACAGTATTGGATTAAATCTCTGTAGCATAAATTAAATTCACCTTTGTCGTTAGAACTGTAGGTTTCCAGTATTCTCTACCATAAAGTCACATACATGGCTGAGGACATCAAAGGCACATGTGCCAAACTCCTACACAACTCATGGCTTTGTACATGATTTACATTACTATACGTTAGGGTTTTTCAGCCTGAGTGCCATTGACATTGGGGGATTGGCAATTCTTTGTTGTGGGGTGCTGTCCTGTGTATTGTAGAATGTTCAGAAGCATCTCTCACCTCCATCCACTAGATACCAATAGCATTACCACTCTCCACCAAGTCGTGATGACCAAAAATGACTCCTGACTTTGCCAACTGTCCCATGGGAGACAAACTTGTCCTCGTTGAAAACCACAGGTGTGAACTCTTCAACCTGTGGGTCCTTCACACACACAGACTGTGTGGTTGGCTTGTTTGCATATCTTAGCTTAAATGTCAGCTCTTCACAGAGGCCTTTCTCAAGTTCACGAAACTAGGTTACACCACTTATTATGGTGGAATCCTTTTTGTTTCCTGTGTGGCACTTTTCACGGCGCCACGTTCCTTTTCTTTGTTTTAACTCTGGGTCTTTTGCCACTAGGTTGTGTACGTGATGGAGACAGAGAACATACCTGCTAGGGCCATTTTCCTGGGCATGTGATCTGTGCAGTCAAGCAGGATCCTACACTCCAATGAACCGTGTGGTTGGTTTAATGTTCTCTTGTCAACCTATTGAAATTTTTTGTTGTTCAGACAGGGTCTCACTCTGTCACCCAGGCTGGAGTGCAGTGGTATAATTACAGCTCACTGCAGCTTTGACCTCCCTAGGTTCAGGTAGTTCTCCCACCTCAGCCTTCTGAGTAGCTGGGCCCGTAGGTGCATGCCACCATGCCCAGCTAATTTTTGTATTTTTTGTAGAGATGGGGTTTTGCCACCTTGCGCAGGCTGGTCTTGAACTCCTGGGCTCAAGCAGTCTGCATACCTTGGTGTCCCAAAATTCTGGGATTATAGGTGTGAGCCACCATGCCTGGCCCTAATTGAAATTTGAACAAAAGGCCCTGCATTTTCTTTTTGCATTGGTCTCTGCAAATTATGTAGCCAGTCCTAACGTGTACCTTATTGACTGTGGAGTATCTGGTGCATAGAACAGGGCTTGGCAGAGAATAAGAGTTTAAATGATTGTTGAATAATTTAATAAAGCTTTAAGTAGTATTCTGATATGTCTTTTGAACTCTGATTCTTAAGTTAAACTCTAGACATAGGCCTGTGGATACTGAGTATCTCAGATTCTGCTTCTGTGTACAATGATATTTTTTGTCTTGTGATGTTATATAAATGGGTTAAAGATGGACCCCCATGTTTTTCTTACTTCTTCACAGCAGGCTAGGACCATTAGCCCAAAGCCAAATGGTACCCAACTCCGATTTTTATACATCCAGTTGCTTTAAATATAGCTCAAATAAATATATTTTTAGCCATTTAAAGCCTACCTGCTTTGCATACCTGATAAAATTTAACTGAACATCTGCTAACCATAGATAAAGTAAACTCTGGGACACTAAAAGACCCCAAGCCATTGATACCCTTCAAAGTTCTCTGACCCAGACACTTCCCAATTTCTAGTAAGTGGTATCACCTAGACGTGCAAGCCCCCTCTCCAATTTCCCCTTCTCCTGGGAGTTCGCTTGTCATCTTCTCCTTCTGGGTGGTAGCCAGGCACCATTGTCTCTGGAAGGTCTCCTGTTGTGAGGGACTTCGCCTCTTGGCAACCTGTCAAAGCACCACCCAAATAAAGCTCCTTTTGTACTACCGCCCTCTTGTGGTCCTGTATTTTCTTTGATTAGCCTTGACATCCTGAAACTCACCACGTATGGGTCAATACTTATTTCTAATGGAAGGTAGGGACTCAAAGTAGCAATACTGATTTTAAATATATTTCTTTCTTTTTACTAGACTATAGGCTATTTGAGAGCAGGATCTGTGATTGATTTCCCTTTTGGTTCTGTGATTAGGCCAACATTTATAAATAAATAGTGATTTGTAGAATTGAATCTTATTTTTGTAGATACCTAATAGGTTATTTATTGTGTTTAATTATTTTTTATGCTTAATGTTAGTAGAATGAGAAATATAGAGAGTGAAGTTCCTTAAAATGTATGTGGGCTCATTTGTGTTGAATGAATTGTTTTTGTGGGGTTAATTTTTGCTTACATAACTGCCACAAATTTTATAAAGTGACCAAACCTTTTAAATTTAAAGGACTTTTTATCTGCTATCTAACATTTTTGAAATGGAGTAAATGAGTTGCCAGACAAAGGTTTAGAAAGGAGTATTCTCAGATGTCCTGTAAGGAAAAGAAAATTATTTAACATCTAAAGGATTAATTTGCACAGCTGTTATCGTCATGTAGTGGGGTGACTGATCTGCCTTACAGCATTGATCTGTTGTTGAGAGAATGGAGAAAAATAAAGATGAGCAGTTATAATTTGCATTTGGCTCTGGAATGGTTGGCTTGTGTATTACTTGATTTTTTTTCTGCAAAATAGTATTTTTCTAGGAGGAAATTAACAGTAAGGAACTAGAAAATAATTCAGCTTTTCTGTGTTTCACCCTTGTTAATCCCATGTCGGGAGTAAAGTATACATCACTCGTCTGTGGAACTATTCCTGAGCTGATCATTGTTTGTTAAAGGACACTGACTTGGAGTTCAGTCTCTATTGTGGATCAACCAGAGGGACCACAGTTTTCAGAATAAGGAAACAAATAATTGCTATTAAATCACAAAACATGATATACTGTAGCAGGTATAATCTGTCTCTGAAATATTTCCAACAATTCCAATTTTAGAAATATTTATCTAATCTTTTTAAAAAATTTATTTTAAATCGACAGATAAAATTGGGTGTATTTACCACATACAACATGATGGTTTGAAGCACAGTACAGATGCATTGTGGAATGGTTAAATCTAGCTAATTAAACTATGCATTACCTCACCTAGTTACCAATTTTGTTGTGGTGAGGACATTTAACATTCACTCTCTTAGCATTTTTCAAGAATACAATATATCATATTAACTGTAGTCACCATGCTATGTAATAGGTCACTTGAATTTATTCTTTTCATCTATCTGTAAATATGTGTCCCTTGATCAACATCTTTCCAACTCTTCCTCCTCCCCAACAGCCCCAGCTCCTGATAATCACCATTCTCCTCTCTCTTTCTATGAGATCAACCTTTTTAGATTCTACATGAATGAGATCATGTGGTATTTGTCTTTTTGTGCCTGGTTTATTTCACTTAATATAATGTCCTCCAGGTTCATCCATGTTGTTGCAAATGACAGCATTTCCTTATTTTTTATGGCTGAATAGTACTCTATCATATCCACATTTTCTTTGTCCATTCATCTGCTGATGGATACCTAGGTTTATCTAGTCTTTAAGACCTCTTTTCAATGGTAGCATAGAAAATTATAATTTTCGTGTATGAATTGTGGCTGGTTATTTGTTTAGGATATTTTACAAGAGCTGCTAGGAAATTTTACTTAAGTAGAAAGACTATTTAAGTCAATGCTAATGAAACAAACCTGCATAATTAGATATGGTCCAGCTATTAACTTAAATATGTTTCAAATGTTGTTGTATTTAAAAGCTAGTAAATATTGTTTCATAACTTAAATTGTTTATTACTCTTATTAGGATAATGGGTTTAAATTACTAGTTTTTCTCTCCTCTGTGCTATAATAACCAAATCTATTTCAGTTCTTATAATTCCTTATAGGCAGCATAATTAAATAATCTTCGCAGCTATTTTGTTAGTCTTTTGCTTTTCCTTGTTTTACAGTTTCAAGAGAATCTAGTTCATGATTTCTTCAATATTTGCCTTGGGAGAAGATAAAATCTGAGAAGAGAATTGGTTAAAAAGCACACCAAGAGTGTGTCTTCATTGATTAAATGAGCATAAAAATTATTTCTGGATGTCCTTGTTCATTACATATATATTCTTTAAATGGAAGATTGTCAATATCAAATTACTTGTGCAGATTTATTTGCTCTTTGAATAACTCTCTTATTCGGTAAGGTTATACCGAGCTACATTTGGTTCATTTTCTTTTGATCATTGAGATGTCTGTGTTTAATGAGCTAAAACTGAAGTAGGTCAATAAAATGAAGAGATTAACAGCCTGTTCTCACCAGGCTTGGAATTCATTTTACTCTAGGGGGAAAAAAGTCATTTTTAAAAAAGGTATTTGATCAACTTAAAAGGTAAAGGGAATAAGAAAAACATGGCAAAACTAAAAAAGCTGAGAAATCAATGAGTTCTTCAGGGTACTATTTGTTAGGTGAAGCTATGTGGATCTGTGTTTGTATTGTTAAGAGTTTGCATTACAAGAGCAGAACCAAATTTTACTTCTTCCTTTGATAAGTTCAGAAGCACACAAAAAACTTCAGGTTTTAAAATATTTCCTATTCAATTCATCTTTGGAAATATCTTACATAAGGAAAACTAGTAGTTATGACAAACCATGAAAATGTCATGGAAAATAAATGGGAAAAGCAGACTTGTCACCTTATTTGTTGCGTATTATGATCACATATTTTCTTTTCTTTTCTTTTCTTTTTTTTTGTCAAGGGACGAGGAAGATGCCTGTGTTATTTGTTTTTTCTCCCGACTTTCATATTAGATTCAGGGGGAACATGTGCAGGTTTGTTACTTGGGTTTATTGTGTTATCCTGAGATTTAGGATATGAATGATCCCATCACCTGGTTACTTAGCATAATTCCCAACAGATGGTTGGTCAACCCTTGTCCACCTCCCTCCCTCCCCTCTCTAGAAGTTCCCAGTGTCTGTGTTTCCCATCTTTATGTGCATGAGAGCACAGTGTTTAGCTCCCACTTATAAGTGAGAACATGTGGTATTTGGTTTTCCATTCCTGTGTTAATTTGCTTAGGATAATGGCCTGTGGTCACATATTTTAGTGAATAATGTGAATAACGATGAATTTGTAGTTTTGAAATAGGTTAGTCTTCACTCCATCACTTACTACCTATGTGACCTTTAGCAAATGACCCAACCTCTCAGAAAGTATTTCTCTTTATTCACAGGCTTGTCCCTTTTCCCTTTCAGTGGTTTTTGAGAAGCATGTGGTATTGGGAAGGCGGTTTGTAAACAGTAATAGTCTCTACAAATGTGACATAATTGATTCTATTACAAAATGTTCTTAGATACATTTAAATAATTATTTGTGCTTGGTCAGGGAGCAGACAGAGAAATCATAGTAGAATCGTTTCCATTCTTTTTTTTTTTTTTTTTTTTTTTTGAGACCAAGTCTCTCTCTGTCGCCCAGGCTGGAGTGCAGTGGCACGATCTTGGCTCACTGCAAGCTCCGCCTGCCAGGTTCGTGCCATTCTCCTGCCTCAGCCTCCTGAGTCGCTGGGACCACAGGCACCCGCCACCACACCTGGCTAATTTTTTTGTATTTTTAGTAGAGACGGGGTTTCACTGTGTTAGCCAGGATGGTCTCGATCTCCTGACCTCGTGATCCGCCCGCCTTGGCCTCCCAAAGAGCTGGGATTACAGGCGTGAGCCACTACGCCCGGCCTTCCTTCATCTTAATGGAATATCAAAGTTTCAAATATTTGCCTCCCCTCACTCCCTCTCAAGGTATTAATCCTGTACTCTTAGGAACATAGTCCATGTTTTCATTATTTAATATACTAAATATTTTATTATTTGTAGTTCATTCATATGGTAAAATCAAATTTGTTTATTCATAGACAAGGTTTAAGAACTAAAGACTGGGCTTTTTCACATCTCAGCACTTTGGGAGGCTGAGGTGGGCAGATCACGAGGTCAAGAGATCGAGACCATCCTGGCCAACATGGTGAAACCCCGTCTCTACCAAAAATACAAAAATTAGCTGGGCGTAGTGGCACGTGCCTGTGATCCCAGCTACTCGGGAAGCCGAGGCAGGAGAATCGCTTGAACCTGGGAGGTGGAGGTTGCAGTGACCCAAGATTGTGCCACTGCACTCCAGCCTGGCGTCAGAGCGAGACTCTGTCTCAAAAAGACAAACAAACAAACAAAAAAACACTGGACTTTTGCAAAATAATGCTATTTGAATTAATTCAATTAAGGTAAAGAGGAAGCTACTTTCCCTGGAAATATAAGATGGTTTTAAGGCTGAATTAATGTGAGTAGGGATAGATTCTCTAATGTCTGATTGGCTTCATCAAGTGAGTAGGAGTTACTTCTCTACTTTATTGTGTTCTTGCGTGTTGTAGTGCTGAGGGTCTTGGCAAGTCCCCTATATTGGAGATAAGAACTTATCTTCCATGTGAAAAGCACAAGGGTGGAGTGTGCTGGCAAATCTCTGTCTGCCCCTTCAGAAGGCCTCTCCACCCTACCCTTTGTTCCTGGGCCCTATCAGTGGGCATTCTTGGCTCTGGCAGTTAATGGGAGGCAGTAGCTACAGAAGGACTGGGCAAGTGGAGTGGGGCAGACATAGGTCTCACCTTTATAGAGTCACTACAGGTTGGTTATGACCCTTTACATAAAACCATAGCTCCTGTTGAGTGTCCTCACAAGTCTCTGAATCCTTATAACTACTTTCTCTCTTTGCTTCCTAAGGGGCAGTATCAGTGACCTCACCTCGGTTATTAGCTAGGGAATATTGCATGATCCTTATAGCTTTCCTATATCCTGCTCTTTATAAAAATTTTATTAAATCTAATTTTAGGGTGCCAGTCTATTTTCTCCCAGGATTCTGTATGATAACACTTTATATACTTTAAATATGTCAAGCCACAGCTTTCAGAAGATAATTTGATTTGTATTTAAAATGTATAGAAACACAAATCTGTTCTAGAGTTACTTTATAAAAGTTTTTAGAAGTTCTAGTCAATAATTTCTTTACTCACATTCAGTTGCTTCATAATCATGCTTCTGTTAAATGTTCCTTTCCCTCCCTTCCCCACCCTTTCCTCTTACCCCTTTTGTGAAGAGCATTGGCAACAGCTAGCTCTTTAGGCTTCAGTTGAAAATGTGACTGCATGGATAACACCCCATGATGATGTGATAGCTTAATCCCCACCTACGCTGTCAATTCAATCACCAAATTCTCCTAGATTCTGTTTCACAAATGCCTTTGTGAATTCTCTGCCTATCACCATTGCTACCACCTTGTTTTAACCCAGTGCCTTTTCGTGGCTGAATTGCTCAATCAGCCTATTTCTGTTCTTAGCCCTTGCTAGTCCATTTGCCAATAGATTCCCAACTGAGCTCCCAATAAAATCCAAATCTTATCTTTATTTCTTGTTCACTGCCTTTCTTAAAAATAAAAGAACATGATTGTATTTGAATACATAACTTCTGTACAATAAAATAAAATGAAATACCACAGTGAAATGGAGCCCTGTGACATTGCATCTGTAATGCACAGCAATCAAAAGGTTAGCATCCTTAATCATAAATGAACCCTCATAAATTGGTAACAAATACACAAATATACCATGTGAAATGAAAAAAGAACATAAAGAGGAAACTCAAATAATGTAAATGACTACTGTGGATATGTGAAGATTAGTGAACTTAACAGAGGAAATATAATTTCTCAGGAATATGACGTTATCAAAGATTAGAAATACAAATATCTAATGTTCCTGTGACTGTAGGAAACAGAGCATTCTCATCTACAAACACTGAAAAAGAAGGCTGATAAAGACTGTCTCTGCCTTCTGGAGAATTCCGCAGTATGAATCAAAGTTTAAATGCTGAATACCCTTTGCCCAACTTATAGGAACATATTCCAAGAAAGTAATTGGACAAAATTCAAACTGATTTATATATAAGCATGTTCATTGTAGCTAATGTAAACATCTACTAAATGATAAATTATGGATAATTATGTGGACATTAAATGAATAAAGGTAAAGCTGTATAAATAACCAAAGTAGAGGCCTAGCTTGGTGGCTCACGCCTGTAATCTGAGCACTTTGGGAGGCCAAGGCAGGAGGATTTCTTGAGCTCAGAAGTTCAAGACCAGCCTGGGCAAATAGGGAGACTCCATCTCTACAAAAAATTAAAAAATCAACCAGGTGTAGTGTTGTACACCTGTGGTCCTAGCTAATCAGGTAGCTGAGGTGGGAGGATAGCCTGAGCCCAGGAGGTGAAGGCTGCAGTGAACTATGATCATGTCACTGCACTTCAGCCTGGGTGACAGAGAGTCTGTCTTAAACAAAACAACGAAAAACCAAAATGAACAAGTGACTTAAGACATCATTGAAAGGAAAAAGCAAATATGGCCCCACTTAAAAAAAAAAACTACTTACATATCGATTTATGTATTAACAAATCCCAAACAATGTGGACAGAATGCCATTAGTCGTAGATAGCATTGGAGAATAGAATTCGTTGGAGAAAAAGCAGTGAAGAAGTGAAAATATATACTTTACAAATTTCTATGTTTGAATTCTTAAAAAAGATATTTAAAAATTAAATCAGATTTAATAGTTACCCTGTGATTAGTATTTATAAATGTCATTCACACTTACAGGAGCACTGAGATGAAGGCCTTGCCATCCTATCGTCTTGAGCTTCTCTGTGTGATAACACTTTCCAGGCTCCTGGGATTGAGTCCAATAGCAGCAAAACAATAGTCACTCTCACTGTTCTTTATCCTGATCATCTTGGCTCTGATGTAGCTTCTCAGACCCTTGGTGATCTGGCCCCTTCTTTTTTAACTTTGCGTGCTCTTTCTCCGCATTTGGAAGAGTCTGTTTTTGCTCCTGAGCTACCATAAATAAAATTATTCCTCAAAAATCATCCCTGGAAACACTGAGATGATCTAAACTAACTTCAGAGCCAGGAATTATTTCTAAAGTCATCTTCAAATCAGAATACCTAATTATGGCCATATCTTTAAGAACAAAGAAACATCATTTCTCTCTTGGACTGTCATGATAGCGTATTGGTTTTATTTGCAGTTTTATCTTCATTGGAAGCCATTTCCCCCACTGCCCCAGTGGTCTAGTTTCCCCTACTGCCTCAATGATATAGTTTGGCTGTGTCCCCACTCAAATCTCATTTTGAATTGTAGTTCCCATAATCCCCACGTGTTGTGGGAGGGACCCAGTGGGAGGCAATTGAATCATGGGGGCAGTTACCCCAGTGCTATTCTTGTGATAGTGAGTGAGTTCTCACGAGATCTAATGGTTTTATAAGGGGCTTTTTCCCCTTTGCGCGGCATTTACTCTGTCCTGCCACCTTGTGAAGAAAGTGCCTGCTTCTCCTTTGCCTTCCGCAATGATTGCAAGTTTCCTGAGGCCTCTCCAGCTATGCAGAACGGAGTCAGTTAAACCTCTTTCTGTTATAAATTACCCAGTCTTGGGCAGTTCTTTATAGCAGTATGAAAATTGACTAATACAGTGATGTTTCCATATGGAAAACCTGATTCCATTTCCTCTCTAAACTGTTCACACTTTAAGATTTCAGTGACAGCAGGCCAGTGAAGTACATTGTCAGTGCATCTCAAGGGACAATGAAGACAAAGGAGGGGGAGGGATGCAGATGGGCTAAAGCAATGACAGTTGGGACTAGAGTGCTTACAAATCTCTCTGTTTGGCTTTTGCATAGTTTTTTCTGCTGCAGAGTGATTTGCTTCACGTAACAGAAAATATGACTGCTATAACGCTTCCACCAAAAGGGAGAAACTGACCATACTCTCTTGGTCATGAGTTTAAAAACTTCAAGGAGGGTGTCGCCTTATAAAGTATGGCTATTTTCCAACTAACTATGAAGGTGGGTTGGGGGGTGGAGGAGAAGGTCTTAGAAAAGCTGTGCAAGTCATATACATAAATCCACAGGGGTTTGATACACATCTTAAGACACCCTTCATGGTTCTCTAGTGCTATGGCAAAAGCTCAGACTTCCATGTCTTGCATTTACATTTCTCAGGGATATAATCCTTGCCTTCTTTTCCAGTCTTTGTCTGCTGTGGCCTATCCACTGTTTCCTACCTTGCCTCCCTGTTGCTGGAGATAACCCACCATGGGCCTTGAGCATCCCTGTGTGTTTTGACTGGGCATGCTAACAATTGAAGGCTCTGACTTCCCTCTGCTTGGGCCATGTGTCAGTGTTGTGTTTGCAGTGAGCAACTTTGAGGGACGGTCTCCCCCAGAATAAAGAGAAGGATTGCTTAGGCTTGCTGTAAAAGTGGTGAATCCCCAACAAGTTCAGTGTTCTTCCCCTGTAACACAATCCCCTACATGTGCAGGCAACTATCTAGACGCTTGTGGAGCAGGGTGCTAACGTGATGTTCGTGCTGTTTGCTGTGAGTCTCCTGTTTTATGCCAGCATCCATGAAGCAGCAAGTAGGGCTAATGTGCAGACCTTTCACAACTCCCAACAACTTTCCCCAGTCCACAGCCGCACATAGACCTGGTGTTTCACTTCACCTATTCCCCAGTGCTTTTGGTTTCCCCAATGAGCCACACCTTTTTATACGTCTTGCCTATTGTTGCCTCTCTATGGAATATAATTTCCTTCCTTCTCTTCCCCCATTCTTGTCTGACCAATCTGAGTTCAAATTTGTTTTGCTACTTATCAGCTTTGTGAATTTAGAGAAATTTAACTATATTGAACAAAAGTTTTCATTTATAAAATAGGAATATTTTTCTACCTTGTAAAAGTCTTTTTGCGGGGGTGGGGGGGGTGGGGGCTTGTAAGGAGACTATAAACTATCTATTTAACCAAATGTAAAGATGTTGCTCAATCTTCTCTGATCCCTTTTCATGTCTCTCCAAGAAGGTGATATCATTTCTTCCTGTGTGCTCCCACAAAACTTAGTGCATCTTTTATAGCATTTTATCACATTAATTTTTTTTACAAATGTGTTTCCCACTAATCCGTGCCCTGGAGGGAAAATTGCATTTTATCATTTTTGGTATCCTTAATAACTATCACAGTGTCTTGTACAGAATGGGTGCTTAATAAATATTTGATGAATTTATTTGATTTATTAATCAAAGAACAGGAAATTACCCTGCAGTGTAGCAGAGGTGGGAGGAAGACCGCATATCCTGAGAAGTACCTTGAGGAGGGAGGCAAGAGTCCATGTACAGTATAGGGCTGCCCATTCCCACCCAAAATGTAGAAACATATAAATTTATGAGTCCTTCAGATGCCATTTTTAAGAACCCTCATTAAGTTGACCTCAAAAAGAATAACTAGCAAAACGCAAACTGTGTGCTGCTGCATTTTACTTCTACTAGCTGTTTAATAGTGTTTTAGGAAAAAGGGTCTCACTAGCTTGGGAGAAATGCTGCATCCTAAACATGTTTCTTGAAGAGTCACAATACATATTAGCATTTTAAATCTCTGAGAAGTACTATACTTGAGAGAATCCATTTCTTTTATTATTATTATTATTATTATACTTTAAGTTCTAGGGTACATGTGCACAAAGTGTAGGTTTTTTACATATGTATACATGTGCCATGTTGGTTTGCCGCACCCATCAACTCGTCCTTTACATTACGCATTTCTCCTAATGTTATCCCTCCCCCAGCCTCCCACCCCCTGACAGGCCCTGGTGTGTGATGTTCCCTGCCCAAGTGATCTCATTGTTCAGTTCCCACCTATGAGTGAGAACATACGGTGTTTGGTTTTCTGTCCTTGTGATAGTTTGCTGAGAACGATGGTTTCCAGCTTCATCCATGTCCCTGCAAAGGACATGAATTCATCCTTTTTTATGGCTGCATAGTATTCCATGGTGTATGTTTGCCACATTTTCTTAATCCAGTCTATCATTGATGGACATTTGGGTTGGTTCCAAGTCTTTGCTATTGTGAATAGTGCTGCAATCATTGAGAAAACCAGTTTATTTTCGTTGGGAAAATGTTTTTTGACTTAGCCCGCCTTTTACCATTCCCTTGAAACATTTTTTACTTTTACGTCTTTTACTTAACTCCAATTACAGAGGCACTTCTTGAAAAAGTGGATGGAACAGAGTGGGGTGGATGGAGCAGAGGGGGGGAGTATTTAGAAGGCAGAATTGTTAGAACCTCTGAGGGAGAAATAAGAGTCTAGTATGATTCCCAGTTTTTAAATAGCTTTCAGGGAATATAAGGCACTCTGTAGGGAGGAAGGTACAACACTGGGCATGTCAATATTGAGGCTACTGTGTCATACCAAGGTCGTGATGTGTAGTAGATAGTTAAACATATGGGTCCAAATATCATTTGAGAGAGTGGCAGCAGAAAAAGATTTAGAGATCATTGGGTGTGTAGGTGAATTTCTAGAAGTAGAAAATAATTCAGGGACAGAACTGAGAGATGGAACTCGAGATAACACAAATACAGTAGCCCCTGCTGTCAGCCCACAAAACGTAGATTCTCTAAAGACAAGGAGTTTATTCTGAACTCTGCAGAAGCTTTGCAGGCAGAATATGTGTGCTGCAACCATGGGTGCATTTGAGAAGGTCGAGGTAAGGGAAAGATTTTAACAGCAAAAGGAGGAGTACACTAAGTTGTTTTGAAACAAAGAGAACACTGGATACAGGGACTTCTGGCAGGAGTTGACCAGTTTACTACTGGAGACAATGTGTCAGGTAAATATTCCTGTGCATCCAGTTAGCTGTCCTTGGGACTGATGTAGCAAGCAGCAGTTAGGAGTCCATAACGAAAGTTCTTGTTATAAGCATATATGCCCACAAGCCCTTCAGGTAGTCTTTGTAGTAGTTCTTATCATAGGCATGTGTACACAAAGGCCCTCCTTAGAAACTCCTGGCTTTATTTATTTTCTTAGGGTGTGACGCAACTGACTTCATTTTTATTCTGATACTTTTCACACATCTTATGTGTGGTTTTACTTTCTGAGGTTTCAGTTACCCATGATCAACTGTGGTCCAAAAATATGAAAGGGAAAGTTCCAGACAAAAACATTTATACGTTTTAAATTGCTTGCTGTTCTGAGTAGTATGATGATCTCTCTTACCTTCCAACTCCATCCTGCCTGGGACATGAATTGTCCCTTTGTGCAATGTGTCCACACTGTCTGTACCGCCTGCCCATCAGTCATTTAGTAGTCGCTGAGTTGTTATCAGATTTAAAACATGTCATATATAGAGCGTTTAGTACTATGAATGGTTTTAGGCAGCCACTAGGAGTCTTAAAGGAATAGGAGGCAGAAGATAATCCAGCCATATTCTAGAAGTCAAGAAGAAGAAAGGGTTTTGAGAACTGGGGAGTAAATTGAGTCAGAGTCCACAAAGATGTCAGTGGTGTTTAGAAATGAATAAACGTCTCTTGGATTTGGCAAGTAAGAGTTCTCCACTTATCTGGGTATATGCATTTACCAAGGAGTGCTAGGATCAGCATTTAGATTGTAGAATTGACACAAGCATGAAGTGGAAACAGCGAATTCAGACTACCCTTTCAAGAAGCTTGATTCTGCAGGAAAGAAAAGGCTAGAGTATAGATTGTGCTTCTTGAGTGTGTTTGTTTTGCATAGTACACACTTCAGAAATATGTAGGTAACAAAGTGATGGGGTGAGTGTGGAAGGAAAGGTGAACGGGTGAGGCAGCAGTCACAGGCAGACTTTCTGGCTATGTTAAGGGTTTTGGACTTTATTCCAAGAGCAGTAGAAAGCCCTGGAAGATCTTTTAGCAGAAGTGCCACAATCAAATTTGCATTTTAAAAAAGACCTTTCTGTTCTGTAGGGTATTCCTTTAATACTTCTTTTCCAGGTGTGAGATTAGAGTGGTTGTAGTACCAACAGGAATAAGTGGATTCCAAACTTATTTGAGGTAGAATCAGTATGATTATGATTATTTTCTTCTGCTTGTCTTGTAACAGGAACCTGTTAAGATATTTCTGATGCATCTTTTCAGTTGTACATACAGCTGAAATCAGTCCTGAAAGACAAAAGGTGCATACTGACCTTGCATTCATGATAATTTGAATGACCTTAATTATATCGTGTGTTTTGTATAGGTATTCATATGATGTATACTTCTCATTACCTGGTTAATATATTCTTATGCTGTAGGACCCTTTTATTACTATACAAGTTATAAAACTTCAAGAATAGCTAATAATTTGAGCAAGAAGGAATCAAGCAATTCAATGTCTTAATAGTTTCCAGTTAGCTATAGCTTTCTATTTTATGTGAATTTATATTCTAGCTCTTTTGATATTAGTTTAAATGAATGTACAGAGATTCATATAATCTGAAAATAATAATAGTGAGACAATGAATATGAGCACAAGCATAAAAATAATCCCCAAACTAAGAGTAGTAAAAATAATATGGAATTAGTTATAAGGTTAGGACACAAAATACACGTACATTTTATTTTAGCAGAATAACGCCTCAACACTTTCTGCTAGGCTGAAAATTTTGGCTCTGGGTTTGCTATTAGTTATTACAAAGAATAATCCAGTCAACAACGTGATTCACAGCCATTATTAGAAAGAGAAAGGAACAAGAAAATTTTCATGGATTTTTCTAAAATAGATTATATAATGATACTAGTAATAAGCCAGTAGGTAAATTTTCTTTAACTGAGAGAAGACTCTCTGTGGAATATTTGGATTGTGGTTATCGTGGCCAGGAAGAGGTAAACTGCAGAGGCAACTATTTCTATGCAGTGAGAAATAAAATTGTGCCTGGTAACAAGACGTATTAGATTGAAATTGAGATATGTTGTTAGAATAGAAAAAATGATCAGATCAAAACTTTTAAACATGCGAATTGATCCTCCTGATGGCCATTACCTATGGAATGCTTTTAGCAGGATGTACCTAGTTGTTTGCTGCTTATGGTAAATAAACCTGGAATTTTTGGATTTATGAGTCATGGACCACATGAAATTGTTACTGTTAGTTATGTCACAGTTAGACTACAGAAGATGTTTCATGACCAAATGGCCTTTCTTGTTTAATGAACAGGTGAGTGGTTAAATTTGGGCCTGGGTTTATCCCAAAGTAGCAAGGAAGGATCCTGGGGAGCTGCAGGGATGGCCTCAGACTTCTTGCATTTCCTGTGTCTCATGATCCTGGTATCCTAAGGATTATTAGTAAACTCTGATACTGGGTAAGATCTCTGATTCTGTGCATCAGATTTGGCAATCCAACCCTTTTTGTTATCTCAGCCTAGTGAGCTTTGTTTCTAGCCTAGTGAGCTTTCATACTTGTGGGTTTCCTTTGTTATTCCTTTAGTAAATTTTATTTTTGCCATGTAAATTATAAAATAACCGTTCTCCATAGTGAATGATGGATGTCTGTCTTATATTTTATGAGTATATAGCTGTACTCCTCATAGTTCCTGGATCACACACTTCTTCTGTACCCTTGCTTTTCAAAATTAGGAAACCAAGGAGTCTCCGTTTTGGGGACTCCTGGCTTTCAGCATGTCAAGCTGTTTATTCTTTTTTTATTTTATTTCTTACCCTCAGAGCCAGCAGCTTAACTACCATTACTTTTTCCTTTCTGCGATTATTTTTCGATTTACCTTCAGATATTTTGTGAAATAACCTTATCAATGTATGCATTTAATAAAATCTATTTCCTCTCTCATATGGTTTGGTTCTGTGTCCCCACCCAAATCTCATCTAGAATTTTAATCCCCATGTGCAAAGGGAGGAACCCGGTGGGAGGTGATTGGATGGTGGGGGCGGTTCCCCCATGCTATAGAGATAGTGAGTGAGTTCTCACAAGAGCTGATGGTTTTATAAGGAGCTCTTCACTCTTCTCTCTCTGGTTGCCTTGTGTATAAGGTTCCTGCTTCCCCTTCTGCCATGATTGTAAGTTTCCTGAGACCTCCCCAGCCATGTGGAACTGTGAGTCAATTAAACTTGTTTCCTTTATAAATTATCTAGTCTTGGGTAGTATCTTTACAGCAGTGTGAAAATGGACTAACACACTCCCCCTCAAAATAATGTGTGAATAAATTTATGTTGGCATCTTTTGGTGTCTTAAAATGGAGAATTTGCTATCTTGGAAATCAACTCATGAGCTACTCTATGAGGCATAATTATGCTATCAGGAGCATATTTCTACCAATCATTACAAATTAACATCATCTTCCGTAGTCACCAGGAGGTGAACTGATAAACACTTCCAAGGATTTTAGCATCATTCACCTTTTTCTCTTAGCTTCTGTTCACAGAATCTGTTAGCTTATTTCCTTGTGTAGCCTGGGGTAGAAACTTCTCTAAAGGTTATAAAGAACTCCTCACAGTTATTTTGGGATGTGATGGTCTCTTTTAACAATTGTATACTGTGCTGACATGCCTCTTCAGAAATTGTATTCTAGTTATAAAAGAGCACATTTTTATAATTAGGATAATAATTGTATCCTAATTATTATTATGAAGGGAATAATAATACTTACCAATGTGGAACTCAGAAGACTAATATTTTAACTCTCTTTTTTTCCTTCCTCATCCTCCAAGTGATGATAAAAGTGAATAAAGGAATGCAACAACAAAAAAATCCTTTGTTGAACACTGCAATGGAATATTGGCCAACAATATTGCATTGAATTGCAATGAATATTTGTCAATGCTTGACAAATGTCTGTGTGATAAAGTTCATGGAAGAAAATAATGAGAGAAAAACTAATAAGCTTACAGTTGGCTGTAACTTGTAAAAGAAAACTTGCTCCAGAAATAAGGACTGTCACCCTCAGTACAGTTTTACTAACACCTTTTGGCTCAGAATTATAGAAGCCTGTAGAGAGGGTGGGCCATGAGACAATAAGAGTGGAAAGTATTGACTGTATTGATGTATTTTAAAGTGCTCCATATATTGGAATTTACAAAGTATATGTACTCTAACAAGGCTGGCATGCTATGTAAAGCAGGTCTCCTGCTAAAATTGCCCACAATGAAGTCAGGAGTACTAGCTGGAGAAGGAAGCATCACCCTGGAGCCAACAGAAACACAGTAATGAAAATGGGATGGAGCCTTGAAACGTCCAGCACCTTTCTGATGATGATCCTTCCCTATACCACTGGGACTCCTGAGTCTCTCAGCGCTACAGAAGCATTACAAAAAACAAAAACTTAATATCCCTTTCTAGGCCTAGAAGCTGACAATAGAAAACCTACAAATTCTGACAAACTCAATCTCAACTCCAAATACTTTGTAAGACAGATAGCTTTGGTAAGGTGCGTATAAAAATAGAAAAATAATTGGATTTGTAAAAAGCAAACTCAGTATTTTACTCTTAAATATATCGCCATAGTCTGCTTTCTGTTGCTATAACTGAATACCCGAGACTAGGTAATTTATAAAGAAAACACATTTAGGCTGGGCATGGTGGCTCATGCCTGTAATACCAGTGCTTTGGGAGGCCGAGGTGGGTGGATCACCTGAGGTCAGGTGGTTGAGACTAGCCTGGCCAACATGGTGAAACCTCGTCTCTACTAAAAATACAAAAATTAACCAGGCATGGTAGTAGGTGCCTGTAATCCCAGCTATTCTGGAGGCTGAGGCAGGAGAATTGCTGGAACCCAGAAGGCAGAGTTTGCAGTGAGCCCAGATCACGCCATTGCATTCCAGCCTGGGCAACAGAGCAAGACTCAGTTAAAAGAAAAAAGAAAAAAAAAACCATTTCTTACAGTGCTGGAGGCTGGGAAGTCAGCTTGAGGGGCTGCATCTGGTGAGGGCCTTCCTGCTGGTGGGGACTCTGCAGAGTCCTGAGATGCTGCAGGTCATCACATAACAAGAGGATTCATGAGAGAGAGCCAATATGGTTTTTATAACAGACCTACTCTCATGATAGTCCATTAATTCATTGACACCTTAATCTATGAATACATTAATTTATTCATGAGGTGAGAGCTCTCATGACCTAGTCACCTCTTAAAGGCCTCATGTCTTAATACTGTTACATTGCAGATTAAGTTTCAACATGAGTTTCAGAGGGGACATTCAAACTATAGCAGAAAAGCACAGCAAAAAAGTACCTCCTTAACTTGAATTCACACCTTATGTTGGATTCATAAAGACAAAACTGCACCATCTTGAAAAATAATCTGGGAACAAGAAATAATTCTTGGTAAAAATCATGGATTTCTTGATACAGTGAAGTCTGTGAAAGGTAGGCTAAATATAAAAACTATTCTCAGAAATATAGAAGACACATTACTGAATCAGACTTGAAATGGTATAGTGTACTGGTTAAGTGCATGAGTTTTGGAGCCACACTGCCAGGGCTCATGTCTCAGCTTTTTAGTAGACATTTGTATTATTGCTTTGTGGCTGTTTTTATTATTGAAATGGTATATATTTTGGTAAAATCTTTGAATTTAAAGGATTAAAAAATCATTAAGGCTTATAGTCTAAGGAAAATAGGTTATTAAATGGCCAAAAGCCAGGTTGATATTGGACTTCTCCACAATGCTGTAAACTGGGAGATACAGACTTTGGAAGGGAAATATACATAAGACAGTAGGCATTCTTGGATATACATAGGCTTAAGAAGCCTACTATGTATGGAGAGTAGGATGGTGGTTACCAGTAGAGGGGGGGTGTGGGGTGTGAATGTGGAAAGAGAGAATGTTGGTCAAAGGCTACAACGTTTCAGTTAGGAGGAATAAGTTCTAGGGATCTATTGCACAGCATGGGGACTATAATGTATTGTGTATTTCAAAATTGGGAAAAGAGTGGATTTTAAATATTCTCACCTCAAAAAATGATAAGTATGTGAGGTTAGAGATATGTTAATTAACCTGATTTAATTATTCCACAATGTATACAGGTATGTGAATGTTTTGTGCTCACATTGTAGCCCACAAATATATATAATTACTATTTTTCAATTAGAGATAAAAATAAAAGAAGTCTATTATATGCATACAATTTATTTTTTAAACTTAAAAGTTTCCAATTCAACTGAGAAATAGTTACAATTAAAATATTCATTCACAATGCATACTTGGAATAAAGTGACCAGTGACAGAAGAAAAACAGGTCATTTTAGTTATTTTGGGAAACAAAGAAGATTCCTGATCTCAAGTTTATGTAATTGTTTTGAAAAATGATTCTAAATCATAAATCTGATGTTGAATTTCTGGAGGTAATCAGGAAGTGGAACTCTTGCACTGTAGTGGATCAGGATAGGACCTCATAGTAACTGATAGGTTTTATCCAGAGCAGGTTTCTGAGGATTTACGGGATCCTGGGGACACATGGTGGCAAGTACATCAGTTTCATCATGACATTCCTTGACCTTCTTAGGACAAGAATGACTTTTTTTTTTGGTGGTGGTGGGGCGGGGTTGGTGGTCGAAGACTGGCAGAATCCAGTACTGCTTTTTTTTTTTTTTTTTTTTGAGATGAAGTCTTGCTCTTGTCTCCCAGTCTGGAGTGCAATGGCGCGATCTCGGCTCACTGAAACCTCTGCCTCCCAGGTTCAAGCAATTCTCCTACCTCAGCCTCCCGAGTAGCTGGGATTACAGGCATGTACCACCACGCCCAGCTAATTTTTTGTATTTTTAAGTAGAGACGGGGTTTCATCATGTTGGCCAGGCTGGTCTTGAATTCCTGACCTCAGGTGATCCACCCGCCTCGGCCTCCCGAAGTGCTGGGATTACAGGCATGAGCCACCGTGCCCGGCCAAATCCAGTGCTTTCTAAAGACACTAAGAATGTGGTTACCCTTGCTGGATATCATAGCCATGACTAGCATCCCAAGGGCTTAGGAAATACTGGGCCCAGTGTGAAGGCTGGCAATCTGGTATGGGTTGGGAGAAGAAATTGACCCCATTGCTGGAACTGAAAGAGAGAGCAGGAACATAATCTACTTGCTGGAATTCAGGTAAGAGAGTAAGTCAGGACAAGCAAAGGTACTAATTAAAAATGTTGAACCAATACAGAATTAATTTTGGGGACTTAGTTAAACCCTTGACTAGGATTCAATTAATACTAGAATCTGGGGTGTAATGAAGGCTGCAGGTAGAAATAGGGTAGCTCAGTTGAATCAAGGGAAGATATCTAAGTAGACTGTTAATTGTTAAATGAACTGTTTATTTTTCATTTAAAATGGAAGATTTATGTTTGTATAAGGAAAGCAAATATCATTTCTTGACAGCCTGCTATATACCAGGTACTTGCTAGTATTTAATGTATTTAGATATAATAGCAGAACTTTTCTCTAAGACATGTAACCAATTTCAAAGTGCTTTTCACCTTATTTCTTTGTTTTGAATTTCAGTCTTTAGGTTAGCATGGTTTCACAGGTGGTCTCCTATTTCATAATTTACCTATTTCCTGGGTGAACTAGAATAGTGTGTGATATGGTTAGGCTTTGTGCCCCTACCCAAATCTCATCTTGAATTGTAATCTCCAAGTGTTTAGGAAGAGACCTGGTGGGAAGTGATTGGATCATGGGAGCAGTTTCCCCCATGCTCTTCTCATGATAGTGAGTGAATTCTCATGAGGTCTGATGGTTCTATAAGGGGCTTTTCCCCCTTCACTGTTCACTGTTCTCTCTTTCTCATCTGCCACCATTCAAGATGTGCCTCTTTCCCTTCTGCCATGATTGTAAGTTTCCTGAGGCCTCCCCAGCCATGTGGAACTGTGAGTCAATTAAACTTCTTTTCTTTATAAATTACCCAGTCTTGGGTATGTCTTTATAGCAGTGTGAAAATTGATGAATACAATAAATGGATACCATGGAGAGTGGGACACTGCTATAAAGATACCTGAAAATGTGGAAGCGACTTTGGAACTAGGTAATGGGCAGAGGTTGGAACAGTTTGGAGGGCTCAGAAGAAGACAGGAAGATGTGGGAAAGTTTGGAGCTTCCTGGAGACTTGTTGAATGGTTTTGATCAAAATGCTGATAGTGATGTGAACAAGGAAGTCTAGGCTAAGGTGGTCTTAGATGGAGATGAGGGACTTATTGGGAACTGAAGCAAAGGTCACTCTTGCTATGCTTCAGCATTTTGCCCCTGACCTAGAGATCTGTGGAACTTTGAACTTGAGAGAGATGATCTGAAATTGAAACTTATCTTTAAAAGGGAAACAGAGCATAAAATGCTGGAAAATTTGCAGCCTAACAATGTGGTAGAAAAGAAAAACTAATTTTCTGGGGAGAAATTCAAGCCAGCTGCAGAAATTTGCATAAGTAATGAGGAGCCAAATGTTAACCACCAAGACAACGGGGAAAATGTCTCTACGGCATGTCAGAGACCTTCCCGGTAGCCCCTCCCGTCACAGGCCTGGAGTCCTACAGGGGAAAATTGGTTTAGTGGGTAGGGCCCAGGGCTCTGCTGCTGTGTGCAGCATCAGGACTTGGTGCCCCTGCTCCAGCTCCAGCCATGGCATATTAGGGTTCTCTAGAGGGAAATAATAGGAGAGATGTATATATAAAAGGGAGTTTATTAAACAGTATTGACTCACACAATCACAAGGTGAAGTCCCACAGTAGGCCATCTGCAAACTGAGGAGCCAGGAAGCCAGTTTGAGTCCCAAAACCTAAAAGTAGGGAAGCCAACAGTGCAGCCTTCAGTCTGTGGCCAAAGGCCCCAGAGCCCCTAGCAAATCACTGGTGTAGGTTCAAGAGTCCAAAAGCTGAATAGCTTGGAGTTTAATGTTTGAGGGCAGGAAGCATCCATCATGGGAGAAAGATGGAGGCCAGAAGACTTAGCCTGTCTAGTCCTTCCATATTCCTCTGCCTGCTTTTATCCTAGCCATGCTGGCAGCTGATTAGATGGTGCCCACCAAGATTGAGGGTGGGTCTGTCTCTCCTAGTCCACTGATTCAAATGTTAATCTCCTTTGGCAGTACCCACACAGACACCTCCAGGAACAATATTTTGCATCCTTCAATCCAGTCAAG
This sequence comes from Homo sapiens, assembly GCF_000001405.40. Lineage (NCBI taxonomy): Eukaryota > Metazoa > Chordata > Mammalia > Primates > Hominidae > Homo > Homo sapiens. Next base: position 91,426,889 of record NC_000013.11, read on the forward strand.
TTGCCACTAAATATTAACCATCACATGTGCCTAAAAGGGGCCAATGTACAACTCAGGCTGTTGCTTCAGAGGGTGCAAGTCCCAAGCCTTGGCAGCATCCATGTGGTATTGGACCCGTGGATGGGAAGTCAGTGGGAACCTTGGCCTAGATTTCAGGAGCTGTATGGAAATGCCTGGATGTCCAGGCAGAAGTTTGCTGCAGAAATGGAGCCCTCGTGGAGAACCTCTGCTAGGACAGTGCAGAAGGAAAATGTGGGCTTGGAGCCCCCACACAGAGTCTCCACTGGGGCACTGCCTAGTGCAGCTGTGAGAAGAGGGCTGCAGTCTTCTAGACCCTGGAATGGTAGATCCACTGACAACTTGCACCATGAGCCTGGAGAAGTCACAGACACTCAATGCCAGCCTGTGAAAGCAGCCAGGAGGGGTGTTGCACCCTGTGAAGCCACAGGGACAGAGCTGCCCAAGACCATGGGATCCCACCTCTTGCATCAGTGTGACCTTGATGTGAGACATGGAGTCAAATGAGATCTTTTTGGAGTTTTTAAGTTTTAATGCCTTCCCTGACTGGTTTCATACTTGTATGGGGCCAGTAACCTCTTTGTTTTGGCTAATTTCTCCCATTTGGAATGAGAACATTTACCCAATGCCTGTAATCCCACTGTGTCTTGGAAGTAACTAACTTGTTTTTGATTTTACAGGCTCATAGATAAAAGGGACTTGCCTTTTCTCAGATGAGACTTGGACTTTTGAGTTAATGCTGAAATGAGTTAAGACTTTGGGGGACTGTTGGGAGGCATGTTTGGTTTTGAAATGTGAGGACATGAGATTTGGGAGGAGCCAGGGGTGGAATTATATGGTTTGGCTGTGTCCCCACCTAAAATTTCATCTTGAATTGATGTCCCCAGGTGTTGATGGAGAGACCTGGGGGGAAGTGATTAGGTTATGGGGGCTGTTTCCCCCATGCTGTTCTCGTGATAGTGAGTGAATTCTCACAAGATCTGATGTTTTTTTAAATGGTAGTTTTTCCTGAGCTGACACACAGAGTCTCTCTTGCCTGATGCCATGTAAGACGTGCCTCTTCCCCTTCTGCCATGATTGTAAGTTTCCTGAGGCCTTCCCAGCCATGTGGAAATGTGAGTCAATTAAACCTCTCGTCTATACAAATTACCCAGTCTTGAGTATGTCTTTATAATAGTGTGAAAATGGACTAACACAATGTGTTTATTTGCTATCCTATTGTTGCAGTTTCTTTGCTCCCATAGTTCAGTGAGTGTTACAGCTCCTTCACTCCCACAGTTTGGTGAGTTGTGAGTTCTTGTCTCATGACCAAGAGGAATGAGGCATGCAGTCACTGGAGAGTGAGTAAGGCAGAGTAGAATTTTTCTGAGTGACAGAAAGAAAGCCCTCAGCAGCAAGAGGAGACACAAAAGTGGGTTGCTGGCTGCAAGGTTGAGTCTGGGGTATTTATGGTTTTAGAATAGGGAAATGCATGCTGATTGGCTTATGGGTAGGCTTGGAAAAAAGCATCATTCAGAATGAGGTATGATAGTTTAAAGAACCAATCAGGAACTGAGGCTTGGTCTTGGACCTTGGCCCAGGACCAATCAGGGGCTGCGTGCACCAAATGAAAATGGAAGTTCTCAAGTCTGTGGACTCTATTCCAAACTGGTATGTTGGTGTTTAGGCTCCAGGCTGTCCTTGGCTTGAAGGTTGAGTTTCACTGGGGACCTGTCCCTGTCTACCTAGGAATTTGTCTGCCTCCTATCGCTATCACTATTTAATTATTTGATGAGAACTTCCTGTATTCTTTTTTTAAATCTCGAAATTCAAGAAATTTGAAAGGAATTTTTTTTTTTGTTAATGTGAAGTTTTAAGTGATTCTAAGGGAACACGTGCTTATTTGAACATAAAGCTTTTCTAGGGACATTTTTTGTATAGCATACCACTTTCAAGTTTGTTTTAGGAAAAAATCTTGTTTTACTTATAGTATATTTAAAAATCTATCTAGTTTATGAGCATCTGGGTTTTGTTTTGTTTTCTTTTCTTTTTGAGAGAGAGTCTCACTCTGTTGCCCAGGTTAGAGTGCAGTGGCATGATCTTGGCTCACTGCAACCTCTGCCTCCTGGGTTCAAGCAATTCTCATGCCTCAGCCTCCCAAGTAGCTGGGATTACAGGCATCCACCACTGAACCTGGCTAATTTTTATATTTTTAGTAGAGATGGGGTTTCACCATGTTGGCCAGGCTGGTCTCAAACTTCTGGCCTCAAGTGATTCACCTGACTTGGCCTCCCAAAGTACTGGGATTACAGGTGTGAACAACTGTGCCTGGCATGAACATCTGTTTTAATAAAAAAACTTTAGTTACTCTTCAAGGCAACTCATAGACTAATACAGATGACTGGATTTTTTTTCATGCTTTTTTTGTTTGTCTTTAACAAACACCAGTTAGTTGCTGGATAAAGGAGAAATATTACATGGTCTATGTCCCCAAGAAGGTGACAGTTTAGAGGAGAGAAGGAGATAGGAAATAAAATTATAAAAAGTTCTGTAGGATATGATACTGATTGGAAGAGGTTTGAATGGGGATCCAAGTAGAGATTGGTTAATTCTAACATAGGCCCTCAGAAAAGAATGACCTGAATATGGAAAGATGATAGAATGTTTAGTAGAAGGATTGGAAGAAGAGAGATGTCAAGGGTATTCTCACCTGGGCGAGAAATAGTATAAAGTTATGGAAGTGATGGAACAACACTGTGATCAGAGGATTCCAGGTGAGTTAGTGGCACTAGAGTTGATGGTGTGAGACAGAGAAAAGGTCAGTGGCTCTCAATATTCATTATGCAAAACAAACACTTGTGGTAACTTTTAGAAATAAAGATACCCAAGACATCCTGATTCAACTTGTTTGGGAATCTTTATTTTCATCGAAGCAGTTTGCCTTCTCCTCTTCCATGGTTATGATGGAAGTATCCGTAGACCACTTTTAAAATTTTAGAAACACTATGTGAGGAGCAAGGATACATGGAAGAGCTTTAAGCTGGGATAGCACAGTCATATTTCTGTGTTAGATTATACACTCTGGCAGCAGTATAAAAGATAAAAGAGTGCAAGAGTCAAGAAACTATGTTTTTAGGGAACAGGCCAAAATGCTACAACAGAGACCATAATATACAGTGGCTTAAATAACATTTTTCTTTTTCTTTTTGATACCTTCAAGAGTTGAACAGCCCAGGGCTACCATGGAGACTGTACCATACTGGATATGTGGCTTCTAAGGTTCCTCTAGAAACCCATAAGGAAAAAAGAGGATGGTGGGAACAGGAGAAATTTTAGCACAAATATTTTTAAGGAGATGCCATGAGATTTATAACTGTTTGACCTGACTATAGTCAGATGGGCATACCTTGGGTCCAGGATTAGCCACACTGATAGCCAACTGTGCCCTTGGGAAGACAAATCCTAGTTGGCTTAAACCAGTCAACATACCTCATGTTTTGGCCATAGTGCTTGTTTAGGTATGGACTCTTAAGCCAATAAAGTCAATAAAATATGAAGAGAAGTTTTCTGGGACTTCTGAGAGAAGTTTTTCTTCCTCTGTAAAGACTGGATTAAGGATACTTTCTCTTCTTCTGAGTGGTGTGGACTGAATCACAGCAGCCATTGTGCTACTTGAGGCAGAGTTTTTGAGGGTGCTCACCATAAAGAAACTCAGGATGAAGCAAAATCTGTGGGTGGAGAGGCGGAGAGGAAGAAGCCTTCTGTAAAACTGTTTAAGCATCTATGTCAAGGGTAACTAACATTATACTCACTCTATACTTTTAGTTTTCTAGACTGATGAAATCCCTCATGATTTTTGCCAATTTGGGTTAGATTTTTGTTTATTTTTATTTGCAAGCATCTGGGCAACACGATTTCCATTAATGTGCGTGTTAAACATGGTGGCAGTGGGGGTTCCCTATTATAGAGCTGGTGATATGCCAAGTAATAGAATTGACTGATTGATTGAGACAGGGTCTCGCTGTGTTACATAGGCTGGAGTGCAGGGGCGTGATCACAGCTTACTGCAGCCTTGACCTCTTGGGCTCAAGCAATCCTCTCACCTCAGTCTTCTAAGTAGCTGGGACCACAGGTGCATGCTACCATGCCTGACTAATTTTTCTATTTTTTGTAGAGATGGGATTTTGTTTGCCATGCTGCCCAGGTTGGTCTCAAACTCCTGGGCTCAAGCAATCCTCTTGCCTAGGCCTCCCAAAGTGCTGGGATTACAGGTATGAGCCACTGTGCCCAGCCTACAGTTTATTTTCAATACATTATTTATTTCTGGGCACACAAAAGCCGTGGTGATTGAGATGGGACAGTTTTGAGTGTCAGTCATGATTCTGTACTCAAAACCACTCTGCCTCCCCATCCACGATTTCTACATCTGGTTTATTTGACTGGATTTTCCACTCTTGTGTATTTCAGGGTTCCTAGATCTTTCTGTATAATGTGTCGATCAATCTGTCTTCTCCTACTACCTTCTTAATAGTATATTAGCTATTCATTGGGTCTCAGAAAATAATTAAAACAGAAAATGTAGAGAGCTCAGATGGTTTTCCTTCCATTTCTCTACTTCATTTGCTATATTTTGTCTCCACGGTGAAATAGAATAGGCACTTCTCTCCTAATTATATATAAAACACTCTGACCACAAACAGATTATACTCTGTGTTACAATTATAAATTCCCAGGTGAAAAAATCCAATTGGTTCTGTCTGAGTCATATGTTCCCCTTCAGGTCAACAAACTAATCAGAGGTGTGGGTTCACATTACACACATATGGCTGGCAAGTGCTTCTCCCATGGACGGGGATGTTGAGAGAGCTGTTCTCAGAGAAAATGGGGTTATTATGAGGTGGGCTGATGCCAAAGGAAGTATCTGTTGTAGCTTGATAAATAATTTTGGTCTGAGCTACATTTATCGTTGAAGGTTTCTTTCCATCTCACCTCTAACTTCATTACCAGCAAGGTCTTTAGTGTGTATAGATCAGTTGAAGCAAATCGATCCTTGAAAAGCAAGAGGTAATGCTTAATTTCATGTGCCAGATGGTTCAGAATATCTTCTTCAGCCCGGATTGCAGGAGCTGTGCCATGTGGGTATGGTTTCATTTAGAGAAATAATGTGGGTTGTTGGTTATTGAGATAGTCTTTCTGGTGAGTTGGCAAAAAAATATAATTTGAGGTCTCTTTTAAAACTTAGGGGATGAGACTGCAGTTAATTTTCTCATCCCTCATGTAGCTAGATATGCTGCTTCCACTGCTGCTGCTGCTGCTGCTGTGTGTGTGTGTGTGTGTGTGTGTGTGTGTGTGTGTGTGTGTGTGTATGTTTAGGCCTTTTGTCTTCTAAGCTGGTTAACCTGTAGCAGAATGTTACTTGTTGACTCCAAATTCATGACTTCAAGTTTGAGAAGATATTCTGTTTAGCATAGTTGGCTTGAATTAATGAACACAGAAAACATCCTTTCATATTAGATATGCTTGTGATTGGTTATAAAAGTTAAAACTTAAGTATGTGGTTTTGTATGAACATTAATCAACCATTGCTGGAAAAACTGTACTCAATCTGTTGAAGGATCAGTGATACCATTTATGTATATGAGGGGCAGTATTAGCTCTTCTATCTGTGAATATTATGTTGACCTTATTTGTCTGAATTTGTCGGTTGCCAAGTGTTACTTATTTTTATTGAATCCAGAACAATAAAAACTCATAAGAGCTAAATACTTAATACTTTTCTGATTTTTTTCATTTTAATGAATAATATCAATATATACTTTTATAGGACAGTGCCTGTATTTTGTGAAGTAAAAACACAAATCTCTAAATTACAGCAGTATATTGTTAAGGAAAAATATTTGTAAAAATATAAATACAATAGCCATAAATGCTATTCCAAATGGTTTACTGAACCAGTTTTTTGTGTCCTCAGCAATGTGCTCCTCTTATATATATTTAAAATGATCTCATTCATTTTGAGCTAAGACGGTGGCTTATTAAGTTTCTTATAAAATATTATATGTGCCCTTAGGGAGAAAGGAAAGGAGGCTAACACTTTAATGAAGGCCTTTTGTTCCAGGTACTGTGGTAGTCACTTGGAAAGAAGACAAAGGTGGTTCTTATCCTATTGGAGCTCATAGTCTTGGAAGAGAAGTAATAACAATTAATTACACATAAGCAAATGTTCAGGAAAGCAAAGTAAAACACTTGAATAAACCATACTTTTTCTTAAGTTTTTTTTTTCTCCTACTCCATTGACTGCTTCTTCCCAGGCTCTTTTTTTTTTTAATTATACTTTAAGTTTTAGGGTACATGTGCACAACATGCAGGTTTGTTACATATGTATACATGTGCCATGTTGGTGTGCTGCACCCAGTAACTCGTCATTTAACATTAGGTATATCTCCAAATGCTATCCCTACCCCCTCCCCCCACCCCACAACAGGCCCCAGTGTGTGATGTTCCCCTTCCTGTGTCCATGTGTTCTCATTGTTCAATTCCCACCTATGAGTGAGAACATGTGGTGGTTGGTTTTTTGTCCTCGTGATAGTTTGCTGAGAACGATGGTTTCCAGCTTCATCCATGTCCCTGCAAAGGACATGAACTCATCATTTTTTATGGCTGCATAGTATTTCATGGTGTATATGTGCCACATTTTCTTAATCCAGTCTATCAATGTTGGACATTTGGGTTGGTTCCAAGTCTTTGCTATTGTGAATAGTGCCACAATAAACATACGTGTGCATGTGTCTTTATAGCAGCATGATTTATAATCCTTTGGGTATATACCCAGTAATGGGATGGCTGGGTCAAATGGTATTTCTAGTTCTAGATCCCTGAGGAATTGCCACACTGACTTCCACGATGGTTGAACTAGTTTATAGTCCCACCAACAGTGTAAAAGTGTTCCTATTTCTCCACATCCTCTCCAGCACCTGTTGTTTCCTGACTTTTTAAAGATCGCCAGTCTAACTGGTGTGAGATGGTATCTCATTGTGGTTTTGATTTGCATTTCTCTGATGGCCAGTGATGGTGAGCATTTTTTCACGTGTCTTTTGGCTGCATAAATGTCTTCTTTTGAGAAGTGTCTGTTCATATCCTTTGCCCACTTTTTGATGGGGTTGCTTGTTTTTTTCTTGTAAATTTGTTGGAGTTTGTTGTAGATTCTGGATATTAGCCCTTTGTCAGATGAGTAGATTGCAAAAATTTTCTCCCATTCTGTAGGTTGCCTGTTCAGGCTGATGGTAGTTTCTTTTGCTGTGCAGAAACTCTTTAGTTTAATTAGATCCCATTTGTCAATTTTGGCTTTTGTTGCCAACGCTTTTGGTGTTTTAGACATGAAGTCCTTGCCCATGCCTATGTCCTGAATGGTATTGCCTAGGTTTTCTTCTAGGGTTTTTATGGTTTTAGGTCTAACATTTAAGTCTTTAATCCATCTTGAATTAATTTTTGTATAAGGTGTAAGGAAGGGATCCAGTTTCAGCTTTCTACATATGGCTAGCCAGTTTTCCCAGCACCATTTATTAAATAGGGAATCGTTTCCCCATTTCTTGTTTTTGTCAGGTTTGTCAAAGATCAGATGGTTGTAGATGTGTGTTGTTATTTCTGAGGGCTCTGTTCTGTTCCATTGGTCTATATCTCTGTTTTGGTACCAGTACCATGCTGTTTTGGTTACTGTAGCCTTGTAGTATAGTTTGAAGTCAGGTAGCATGATGCCTCCAGCTTTTTTCTTTTGGCGATGCGGGCTCTTTTTTGGTTGCATATGAACTTTAAAGTAGTTTTTTTCCAATTCTGTGAAGAAAGTCATTGGTGGCTTGATGGAGATGGCATTGAATCTATAAATTACCTTGGGCAGTATGGCCATTTTCACCATATTGATTCTTCCTATCCATGAGCATGGAATGTTCTTCCATTTGTTTGTATCCTCTTTTATTTTATTGAGCAGTGGTTTGTAGTTCTCCTTGAAGAGGTCCTTCACGTCCCTTGTAAGTTGGATTCCTAGGTATTTTATTCTCTTTGAAGCAATTGTGAATGGGAGTTCACTCATGATTTGGCTCTCTGTTTGTCCGTTATTGGTGTATAAGAACGCTTGTGATTTTTGCACATTGATTTTGTATGCTGAGACTTTGCTGAAGTTGCCTATCAGCTTAAGGAGATTTTGGGCTGAGATGATGGGGTTTTCTAGATATACAATCATGTCATCTGCAAACAGGGACAATTTGACTTTCTGTTTTCCTAATTGAATACCCTTTATTTCCTTCTCCTGCCTGATTGCCCTGGCCAGAACTTCCAACACTATGTTGATAGGCGTGGTGAGAGAGGGCATCCCTGTCTTGTGCCAGTTTTCAAAGGGAGTGCTTCCAGTTTTTGCCCATTCAGTATGATATTGGCTGTGGGTTGTCATAGATAGCTGTTATTATTTTGAGATTTGTCCCATCAATACCTAATTTATTGAGAGTTTTTAGCATGAAGGGTTGTTGAATTTTGTCAAAGACCTTTTCTGCATCTACTGAGATAATCATATGGTTTTTGTCGTTGGTTTTGTTTATATGCTGGATTATGTTTATTGATTTGCGTATGTTGAACCAGCCTTGCATCCCAGGGATGAAGCCCACTTGATCATGGTGGATAAGCTTTTTGATATGCTGCTGGATTCGATTTGCCAGTATTTTATTGAGGATTTTTGCATCGATGTTCATCAGGGATATTGGTTCTAAAATTCTCTTTTATTGTTGTGTCTCTGCCAAGCTTTGGTATCAGGATGATGCTGGCCTCATAAAATAAGTTAGGGAGGATTCCCTCTTTTTCTATTGATTGAAATAGTTTCAGAAGGAATGGTACCAGCTCCTCCTTGTTCCTCTGATAGAATTTGGCTGTGAATCCATCTGGTCCTGGACTGTTTTTGGTTGGTAAGCCATTAATTATTGCCTGAATTTCAGAGCCTGTTATTGGTCTATTCAGAGATTCAACTTCTTCCTGGTTTAGTCTTGGGAGGGTGTATGTGTCGAGGAATTTATCCATTTCTTCTAGATTTTCTAGTTTATTTGCGTAGAGGTGTTTATAGTATTCTCTGATGGTAGTTTGTATTTCTGTGGGATTGGTGGTGATATCCCCTTTATCATTTTTTATGTGTCTGTTAGATTCTTCTGTCTTTTCTTCTTTATTAGTCTTGCTAGCAGTCTATCAATTTTGTTGATCTTTTCAAAAAACCAGCTCCTGGATTCATTGATTTTTTGAAGGGTTTTTTGTGTCTCTATTTCCTTCAGTTCTGCTCTGATCTTAGTTATTTCTTGCCTTGTGCTAGCTTTTGAATGTGTTTGCTCTTGCTTCTCTAGTTCTTTTAATTGTGATGTTAGGGTGTCAATTTTAGATCTTTCCTGCTTTCTCTTGTGGGCATTTAGTGCTATAAATTTCCCTCTACACACTGCTTTGAATGTGTCCCAGAGATTCTGGTATGTTGTGTCTTTGTTCTCGTTGGTTTCAAAGAACATCTTTATTTCTGCCTTCATTTCATTATGTACCCAGTAGTCATTCAGGAGCAGGTTGTTCAGTTTCCATGTAGTTGAGAGGTTTTGAGGGAGTTTCTTAATCCTGAGTTCTAGTTTGATTGCACTGTGGTCTGAGAGACAGTTTGTTATAATTTCTGTTCTTTTACATTTGCTGAGGAGTGCTTTACTTCCAACTATGTGGTCAATTTTGGAATAAGTGCGGTGTGGTGCTGAGAAGAATGTATATTCTGTTGATTTGGGGTGGAGAGTTCTGTAGATGTCTGTTAGGTCTGCTTGGTGCAGAGCTGAGTTCAGTTCCTGGATATCCTTATTAACTTTCTGTGTCGTTGATCTGTCTAATGTTGACAGTGGGGTGTTAAAGTCTCCCATTATTATTGTGTGAGAGTCTAAGTCTCTTTCTAGGTCTCTAAGTACTTGCTGTATGAATCTGGGTGCTCCTGTATTGGGTGCATATATATTTAAGATAGTTAGCTCTTCTTGTTGAATTGATCCCTTTACCATTATGTAATGGCCTTCTTTGTCTCTTTTGATGTTTGTTGGTTTAAAGTCTGTTTTATCAGAGACTGGAATTGCAACCCCTGCCTTTTTTTGTTTTCCATTTGCTTGTTAGATCTTGCTCCATCCCTTTATTTTGAGCCTATGTGTGTCGCTGCATATGAGATGGGTTTCCTGAATACAGTACACTGATGGGTCTTGACTCTTTATCCAATTTGCCAGTCCGTGTCTTTTAATTGGAGCATTTAGCCCATTTACATTTAAGGTTAATATTGTTATGTGTGAATTTGATCCTGCCATTATGATGTTAGCTGGTTATTTTGCTTGTTGGTTGATGCAGTTTCTTCCTAGCCTCGATGGTCTTTACAATTTGGCATGTTTTTGCAGTGGCTGGTACCAATTGTTCCTTTCCATGTTTAGTGCTTCCTTCGGGAGCTCTTTTAGGGCAGGCCTGGTGGTGACAAAATCTCTTAGCATTTGCTTGTCTGTAAAGTATTTTATTTCTCCTCATTTATGAAGCTTAGTTTGGTTGGATATGAAATTCTGGGTTGAAAATTCTTTTCTTTAAGAATGTTGAATATTGGCCCCCACTCTCTTCTGGCTTGTAGAGTTTCTGCCGAGATATCAGCTGTTAGTCTGATGGGCTTCCCTTTGCAGGTAACATTTTTTCCTTCATTTCAACTTTGGTGAATCTGACAATTATGTGTCTTGGAGTTGCTCTTCTCAAGGAGTATCTTTGTGGCGTTCTCTGTATTTCCTGAATTTGAATGTTGGCCTGCATTGCTAGACTGGGGAAGTTCTCCTGGATAATATCCTGCAGAGTGTTTTCCAACTTGGTTCCATTCTCCCCGTCACTTTCAGGTACACCAATCAGACATAGATTTGGTCTTTTCACATAGTCCCATATTTCTTGGAGGCTTTGTTCATTTCTTTTTATTCTTTTTTCTCTAAACTTCCCTTCCCTTCTCGCTTCATTTCATTCATTTGATCTTCCATCACTGGTACCTTTTCTTCCAGTTGATCACATCGGCTACTGAGGCTTGTGCATTTGTCACGTAGTTCTCGTGCCTTGGTTTTCAGCTTCATCAGGTCCTTTAAGGACTTCTCTGCATTGGTTATTCTAGTTAACCATTCGTCTAATTTTTTTTCAAGGTTTTTAACTTCTTTGCCATGGGTTCGAACTTCCTCCTTTAGCTTGGAGTAGTTTGATTGTCTGAAGCCTTTTCTCAACTCATCAAAGTCATTCTCTGTCCAGCTTTGTTCCATTGCTGGTGAGAAGCTGCGTTCCTTTGGAGGAGGAGAGGCACTCTGATTTTTAGAGTTTCCAGTTTTTCTGCTCTGTTTTTTCCCCATCTTTGTGGTTTTATCTACCTTTGGTCTTTGATGATTGTGACGTACAAATGGGGTTTTGGTGTGGATGTCCTTTCTGTTTGTTAGTTTTCCTTCTAACAGTCAGGACCCTCAGCTGCAGGTCTGTTGGAGTTTGCTGGAGGTCCACTCCAGACCGTGTTTGCCTGGGTATCAGCAGCGGAGGCTGCAGAACAGCGGATATTGGTGAACAGCAAATGTTGCTGCCTGATCGTTCCTCTGGAAGTTTTGTCTCAGAGGAGTACCCGGACTTGTGAGGTGTCAGTCTGCCCCTACTGGGTGGTGCCTCCCAGTTAGGCTACTCGGGGGTCAGGTACCCACTTGAGGAGGCAGCCTGTCCATACTCAGATCTCAAGCTGTGTGCTGGGAGAACCACTACTCTCTTCAAAGCTGTCAGACAGGGACATTTAAGTCTGCAGAGGATTCTGCGCCTTGTGTTTGGCAATGCCCTGCCCCCAGAGGTGGAATCTACAGAGGCAGGCAGGGCTGCTTGAGCTGCAGTGGGCTCCACCCAGTTCGAGCTTCCCAGGCCACTTTGTTTACCTACTCAAGCGTCGGTAATGGCGGGCGCCCCTCCCCCAGCCTCGCTGCTGCCTTGCAGTTTGATCTCAGACTGCTGTGCTAACAATGAGTGAGGCTCCGTGGGCGTAGGACCCTCCGAGCCAGGTGCGGGATATAATCTCCTGGTGTGCTGTTTGCTCAGTAGGAAATGCAGAAATTACCCGTCTTCTGTGTCGCTCACGCTGGGAGCTGTAGACTGGAGCTGTTCCTATTCGGGCATCTTGGCTCAAGAGCCTTCCCAGGCTCTTTTGAAGGCTTCCTTCTCTGTTCCAATTCATATTGGCATGACTCCGGCTTTGTGTTGGCCAGTGGTTCTCAACCAGAGATGGTTATACCCAAGGGGGGGACATTTAGCAATGTCTAGAGACATTTTGATTGTTATAGCTGGTGTGTGTGCATACACATGCTAGTGGCATCTAATGGGTAGAGTTCAGGAATGCTGCTAAGCATCTTGCTGGGTTCGAGACAGCTCCCTGAGAAAAAAAAGAATTATCTAGCCCCAAGTATAAATAGTGCTGAAATTGAGAGACCTTCTAAACTTCATTAACTAAACTTTCTCCTTAGGTGATCTTATAAAAATCTTCAGTATTTGATACCATAATTTGTTTCAAGTGCCCCAGTTTATATTTTCAATCTGCATCTTTTTCCTGAGCTCCAAACTTGCATATTCAAATATTATTTTTGTATCTTTAACTGGATGTCTAATAGTCTTCTTATTTCCAAAGCTGAATTCTGTTTTTTTTCCTTGCAAACCTGATGCTTGTGTATTCTCCTTTTCTCTTGATGGTACTCATAATTTATGCAGTTTCTCAGGCTAAAATCTAAGGATTATCCTTGATTCCCCTCTCTCTATCATCTGCCAAGTCTTACTCAAGGCATTGCTCTCCAGGTTATCTTCTACGTTCAGTGTATATATCTAACTTGCCCCCTTCTTACTTTCACCCTAGTCCTAACTCTCATTTGCAATACAGAAACACCGATTCTCAAAATAACCATTAGAGTGAAATTTTAAGAAACAAATAAAATCAAGTTACTCCTGTCATTGTAATCAAGCTGCTATCATCATTGCAATAAAATTCTTCTACAAGGCCCCATGTGAACCAACCTCATCTCCTGTTTTTTCTCCCCTTTGTTTACATCCTGAGATTCTTGCCTTTTCCTTTTTTCTTAGATTTTTATTAATTTGACTATAGTGTTCTTAGACATGATTTTCTTTGCATTCATTTGTCTTGGGGTTCAAGGAGCTTCTTAAATTTGTTAATTTGTGGTGTTCACCAAATTTGAAAAATTTACAGTAATTTTTTCATGGACTATTTTACCAGCCCTGTTTTCTCTCTTCTTGCCTCTGGGACTCCAATCTTACCTATGTTACACTTTTTGCTATTATCCCACAGGTCCGTAAGGCTTGTTCCTTTCATCCATCTATCCATCCATCTATTTATTTTTAATCTTTTTCTCTGTCTTCTTCAGATCACATATTTTCTGCGGATCTATCTTCAAGTATACTGACTCATCTGTCAACTCTACTCAGCTTTCAAGCTCATACAGTGAATTTTTTATTTCATATATAATATTTTTCAGTTACAGAATTTCCATTTTGTTCTTTTTCCTGCGGAGAATCTCTGACCTATAATTTATTCTGAGTTTATGTTCTTTTACCTCATTGGAGATAGTTGTAATAGCTACTTTGAAGCCTTTCTCTGTTAATTCTAATATCTGGGGCTGGCCTTAATTTATTGGCTTATCTCTTGAATAGGGTCATGTTATATCGACTCTTCATATGTTCAGTAATTTTAGATTGTCCCTTGGATTCTGTGGATGTTATATTATTCTGACTCTGGATTCTATTGTATTCCTTTTTAGAGTTTTGATATGTTTGTCTTAGGAGTAATTTAACCGGTTTGGACTCAAACTGTCACTGCGTCTCTTGGGCAACAACTATAATTTTCATTCAGTTCCTTCATCCTTAGCTTGCCAAGAGCTAGGTTGCTTATAGACTGCACAAGTTATGTGAGGTATGGTTCAGGGGTCAGCCAGAGGTTGGGCAGAGTTTACACAGAAACTGGGGTTCTTGCTCTCAGCCCCTCTCTTCCCTGGTATTCCCCCTTCACTTTCTAGAAACTCTTCCCCAACCTCTGTCTTCTAGTTCTTCAATCCAGAAAAACTGAGTTTTCTATTTGAGTCACTTTGTACGTGGAATATCCTCAGGCTAAAAGCCACAGAGATAGAAAACTAATCCCCTGCTTTTTTTCTTCCTTCAAATATTGACTCCTCTTCAGACTCTCCTCTTTTGTCCACTCTCTAGGGCTTTCAAGTCTGTTATATTTTGCCAGAGTTAATGGTTTCTATCTGTAAGATAGTGTAGCCATACTGCAAGTCAGACCCTTTTTGTTTTTTGGACATGTAAGGTTTATTTTCACTTCAGGGCAGGGAACTTGAGTAGCCATTAAAGAGGTGTTATCAGACCTTCATTTAAGTATAAAGTTCCTTTGAATTGTGGAATAAATCATAGAAGAAAGTAGAATGGTTTGGCATGCTATTACCCTGGGAAATACTGTTGCTGTTGTATTGGCTAGATTTCTTTATATTGCAGGTGACTGGAGAAACTATGGTGGATCCAGACTTTACTCTGAGCTTGAAAATGACTATGGCATTTGCGAATCTTGCACCTTTGTACCATCGAATTCATTTTCAGCAGTAGAGAGGAAGCTTTGCTTTCCTGGGACCTTTGCTTTCCTGGATTTTCAAAGAATATTCCAGCAGGAGGCACAGAGGCTGGCTAGCTCTCAGCAGATTGTTCTATATTAATGGTCTTAAGTATTTTTTATTCTACATAGATGAAAGATTACTTGTGTCTCAGTCAAAACCCTTCTGCCATTATAACATTTCCAAAACTCGTCTCAGTTCTTGGATGTATACAAAGAAGATAGTCTCCAAAAAGGTAGGAGGAGCAAGTTTGCCAATTGTCATTTTTCTATTGTGAATTTCAAGGCCCTGTTTTCATCTGGTGAGCATTTGGTATTTCATAACATGTAACATCCACTCTGGTAAATATAAGTACATCTTGATCTCAATGTATTGGTACCAAAGACTCTTCTCTATGTCTACCATCAATAAAGCTAACATGTGCTACAATTATAAAAATCCTGTAAGTTCACTAGAGGAGAGGTAAATGTTGAAATAAATGGAGAATGTGTGTTATCAACCAGCAATCCTACCTTAAAAATATTTTTTATTATTAAATAAAGCACAGATACAGGAAGCCACACAAATGTATGGCTTAATAAGTTATTATAATTTGAACACCCTTGTAACTACCACCCAGGTTGAAAACTTGAACTTTTGTCAGTATCTTGAAAGTCCTTCCATGAGTCCCATCCTATTAACAAAATATTTTCTTATCACTAAAGTCACCACTGTACTATTTTTATAATGATTTCCTTTTTTGTTGTTAAAAAGTAGTTTTTATCATTTCCATGTGTTGCCCATTTAAAGAACATTTGTTATATTTTCTATGTCTCTCCTTTTTTATTGTGATAAAAATATAGAACATGACATCTACTCTCTTAATAAACGTTTAAGTGCATGTTATAGTATTGCTAACTGTAAGCACAGTGTTGTGCAACAGATCTCTAGAACTTTATTTTGTATAACTCTTGTAACATACCAGGTCTCCCTCCATCTCTTTCTTTTCCTTATGTATCTGTTGAGAATCTGGACCATTTGGCTTTCAGTTTTCCAGTCTGTATATTGCTGATTGCATTCTCATGGTGACATACAAAAATGTTCCTTAGTGCTTTGTGTTTCTTCCAATTTGGCAGCTGGATTCAGAGACAAGATCAGACTCATGTTTGATTCCTTCGGCAAGACGTTAGTTGGTATTTGGCAGGGACTATAGGAGGCACTTAAGGTCTGGTTGTCTCTGTGATTTTAGCAGCTACTGTTGCTTAATGCCTATATCCATCAGTTCCTTGGAGATTAATGGTGACATTCAAAGTTTATTATTTCTCTTATTGTTTATTATGAAAGGAGGCTTCTCCCATCTGCTGTTTGATTATTTACTGGTACAGTTCATATCCAAAAGGAAGGATACCTATTTGCTTCTTTCTTTTTATTTACTATTTTCCAAATTAATATAATCTTCCCTCATCATCCTGTAAAGCTGACAAACTTTAAAAAATCAATACAGTCCCATGGATTTAAGCATATTTGATTGGTTGCAATCCATTACAATTATTATTGAAACTCGAATTGTCTCATATTTGGCCACTGCAAACATTTTGAGGGTGGCTTCTTTCATGAACAAAATCATGTCTCCCCAATATTTATATTAAAGCTCCCAATGTGATTGTATTTAGAGATGGGGCCTTTAAACAGGTAATTAAGGTTACATGAGGCCACAAGGGTAGGACCTTAATCCAACGTGACTGTTGTCATCAGAAGAAGAGGAAGGGACACCAGAAGTCTGCATGCACAGAGAAATGGCCATGTGAGGGCACAGAGAGAAGATGGTCAGATGCAAGCCAACGAGAGACCAACCCAGTGGGCTCCCTGAATTTAAACTTCTAGCCTCCAGAACTGTGAGAAAATAAATTTCTGTTGTTTAAGCTCCAGTCTGTAGTATTTTGTCATGGTAGCCCAAGCAGACTAACACAGCTTCTGTGTTCTTTTGATATGGCCTGGTAGTTATTTGATAGCTTCTTTGCTATCTGCTACGTAAGATGTTTTAGTCAGACTGTCATCTGACAGATTTTCTGCCCCAGAAGAATGAGTCATTTCTTCAAGAAGCGCTGATTTCTTCTTGAGGAAATGATGCTTCAAGACCATAATCCAAGCATGAGGAATGCCCTTTGCTATCTGGTTAGTCGTTGTTTTGGGGTCTTTTCAGGGAAGGTAGGAATTATATACATTTTAAAGGTAAAATTCTTTATGAGTTCATGTTGGTACTTATAATTCAAATTCAAGATTACAGAGTCTTACTTAACGTCTTCTTTATCATGTCTGTATCTCCGTTTTTCCACACTAAAGATCCGGATTTTCAAGAATACAGGATGGAATTAGAGGATAGAATTAGAACATTCCAAAATTGCTTATTTGTTTATCCCATATTAGACTCACAACAATTTCAGATGACATAAAATACAGTTTTTAGTATTTATCCTGTTTTTTTTCTTCAGGGGCTTACATGATCAATATCTCACTTTGGTATTTGTTGTCACTATCTTTCAAATTCCTTCATTCTTTTTGATTTTTCAAAATTTTTATTTTTCATTTTCTGTTTCTCTTAAGGCATTACGTTTGTGTGATTGGCTCTTGTGTTCCTTCTAGTAAGGCTTCATTTAGAATTATTTTCTTTTATCTTTAATTTTTATCCTGAGTACTATCACCTCATATCTGAGTTTTAAAATTCTGACATATGTTGTTCTTTCATGTTTTGTGTCATTGTCTTTCAGCTTGTTTTGAAATAGTATGGCTAAGTTTTTGATCTTTTTTGGAGGGAGCATATCATTCCAGCATATTTTTTCTTGTCTGTGGGATATTATTCTGTTTCTTATTCTCTTTTTTATTATAGTAACTCTGAGTATCGACCTCAATATTTTTGTTGTTCATTTTATATGAAGTTAGTGTTTGTTTTTCTGAACATTTTTATTGAGACAGGCTTCAGCATAGCTTCTGTAACATTGCAGAGCTTCCTCTTCTGTTAATTTTGTGTAGTGTTTAAAAATATGGCAGCTCATTTTATGTTATTTTCTGGATTTATTTTCCTTTGCACTTTGGGCTAGACTTTCTCTATGTGTCTTGAATCCCTGTTCTGTTGAATTTTGATTTCACTTACAGCATTTCTCTTCTGTGTGTGGTTCTGTCCTGGAAAGGAGCCCTGCTGAACCTGTTTGATTGTTTACTGGGGTGGGGACTGCTCTTGTTCCTTCTTTTCTATCATGGGTCGATAGAACACATTTAATGATTGAGGGGGCAAAATTCTCCCAGTTTCAGCTGCTGTAGGAGCCCCGCTTTACTTGTAGGGGATATGTTTCAAGACCCACAGTAGATCCCCGAAGCATCAGATAGAACCAAACCCAACTGCTGTCAGTCAGAACATGTTTCTGTTCATGTCTTCCACCCACAAATTGAATGCCTTTTCCATCTTAACTAAGGACTTACGTGCTGTGGCTATAACTTTTCAGTTTGAGTTGCGATGGCAAAACTAGCACAAATTATTTTTCCCTTCTTCACGGTTTCATGGATAGAAGATTCATTCTTATGTAGATCTTAGTAAACTCAGCATATCGTTATTTTTTCTTTTCTTAACTGACTTTCACCTTTTCACTTAAGCGAAGCACTTTGGGCAAATCCAGATTGCTAGTATTATTACTCTTGTGCTTTGGAGCCATTTTGAAGTAAAATAAAGGTTACTTGAACACATACACTGCCATACCAGGACAGTGTCCTCTTGACTACCAGGAGGGCTAGAAAGTGGCTAACTGGTGGGACGCATAGACAGCGGAGATCTCCTGGACAAAGGGGTGATCGACACCCCAGGTGGGATGAATCAGGAAGGCATGAGATTTCATTGTGCTACTCAGAACAGCAAGCAATTTAAGCCTTATCAGTTTGTTTATTTGTTTGTTTGTTTTGAGACAGAATCTTGCTCTGTCCCCCAGACTCGAGGGCAGTGGCACGATCTCGGCTCACAGCAACCTTCATCTCCCAGCTACAAGTGATTCTCCTGCCTCAGTCTCCTGAGTAGCTGGGATTATGGGTACATGCCACCATGCCCAGCTAATTTTTGTAGTTTTAGTAGAGATGGGGTTTTGCCATGTTGGCCAGGCTGGTCTCGAACTCCTGACCTCAAGTGATCTGCTCACCTTGGCCTCCCAAAGTGCTGGGATTACAGGCATGAGCCACCATGCCCAAGCAAAATCTTATAAGATTTTTGGTTCTGGAATTTCCCATTTAATATTTTCAGACTGTGACTGTGGGGAACTGGAAGCATAGAAAGTGGAACCATGGTTAAATGGGGAGCTACTGTATTCTCAAGTGGGTCGCTGTGCTTTCCTGTCACTCCTGCTCACTATTTTGGGGTTCTCCTGATCTCAGATCCTTCAGACATTCCTCTGTTGCATCTTTCTTCTACCCTGTGCCCTGCTCTGTTACTGTGAAGATCTTGTGCCTATTCCTGGTTTCTCCCCATTCTGTTTGTATTTTAAAGTTTGTGGGGATATCATGTCATCTAATTTTGTTTTTGTTTTTTGGGGGTTTGTTTTCTAGTTCCATCTGGTTTTATGTGGAGATTTGGAGATAGTGAAAACTATGCTGCCACTGCCACCATATTTCCAGAATACCTCCTGATGTTCCTATTTAACATATTGAAAATATACAGGCATGTAGATATCTGTAAATTTCTTATGCTAGAGAATGGAAAGGAAGACGTATTAACCACTACTGCTGCTTCTGGGTGAGAATTCAGAAACATCCCCACAATTCTGGTTGAAGTCTCCTTCATTGAGGCACATTACTGTTTTATTTTTGGTTTTGTTTTAGTACTCTGTTTCTTTTGGAGTTTGATTTTACTGTTTAGAAACATGACTGTCACTCCAGAGCCTGGGTTGTGTACTCTTGCTGTCTCATAGAATTCTAGGATCATGCCATGTTCCTCGAAGCCAGGCATTGAAATCTTCAGATACCTCTAGTTACCATGCATAATAGTATCTGGGTTCACTCTAGCTTTGTTTTCTTATGATGCCTGTTCTATTTACAATAGGAGCCTGGGCTTTATATCACCCAAACATCTTATTATGCCCTTTGTGCTGATACTGTGAACAAAATGTAAGAGATAGCTCTTTCCCTGAGGATTTTGTTCATCTTGTCTGTCTTTTGGATTGATATAGTAACTTAGGGAACACATTTCCTGTCAACTCTTTTCCCTTTTCACTGTGACCCAACTCTAAATTATTTAAGCTTATCTTATAGGCGATACTGATGGAAATGTGCCAAGGAGAGATAAGTCAATCTTTGAGGGTTTGCTGCATGCGCGCATGAGAACAGGTAGGGTAAGTGTGTCTGAGACAGAGAAGAGACCATGGAAAATGGTTCTGTGACAAGAGAGAGCTTGGTGAACACAGAGAGCTGAAATAAGGCCAGAGTGTGATGGGAAGAGTACAAAGGCCAATGTTTCCGGAGATGAGACTGGAGAGGGAGGGAGGAAAGGAAGGATCACAACTTGGAGGCCTTCACAGGCCATGTTTAGGAATTGGTCTAACACAACAGTGTTATATATTTAAATTCCAAAGAGATATTTGCTATGATCTGCTGTTATTGTTCTTTTTATTCCTCAGCAGTCTTTCCTACACTAAATATGTTTATATACTTTAATATTTATTCGTTAGTTCTTTTCCTCAATCTCTATTATTGCTTTTCTCTGGATGCTAATTCCTCAATCCTTCAATTTAGGAATAAAGCTGAGAAGATAGCTTTTTTTTTTTTTTCAAATAATTTTACTGTTTGAAGTAGAATTTGCTCTTACGTAACTTTAGGTAAGATAAGTGAAAAACGATTGCCAAAATGTTACCTACTGTGACACTTACGAATATTTTATGCTTCTTAGCCTTTGTAAAGTGTCAAAATTCTGTCATTTGTTATTTGTCTGACTTAAACTACAGCCAAAATCGTTAGAGATTTTGGTGTCCCATGTTGATAGGAAGCTCAGAGTGGTTTCATATATTTTCAGCTGACCCAGAACCAACTTTTGGAAATTTGAGACCTGAGGCCAACTCTGTGTGGAAAAAGTAGGAAGGGCTTGAAAGGTGGTTGTTATGTGCATGCGTCTTGTGTGTATGTCTGTGTGCATGCACCTATTTTACTGATCTAAAATTAGTTGATGAAGAACTAATGTGGAACCTGTGAAACTCACAGAGATTAAGGGCCACAATTCTTCTTGTTATTCTAAAGTAAGGAAATAACCGTATTAGGCCATTATGTAAATAAAATTGTCCTGAGCTTTACTTATAATCTAGTAGCCTTGGAATGCCCTGGGGCTCACATCAGCTCTCTCCATCAGGGTTTCCTCTTTGGGCACTAACTCTTTGTGCTCCACATCTTTCCTCTCTGTCCTCTAGCATATCTGCTGTGCATAAAGGTGCTTGTCCTGGGTCCCTACCAGGATGAAAGTTTAGTGATACTAGCAAAGGTTTTTTTGTAACCATAACTCTTACATTTCATATATTAATAACTTTACATTTCATGCAATATACATCTTCACAGGATCCTTCTAAACATGATTGTACAACTAAAAAGTGCTTTTAAAGGAGGGGATTGTCTCTCGCCAGCTATATAGTGAGTGGAATCTTGGATGCTGAGCTTGGGCCCATGGGGGCCTTGATCTCCCAGCATGTCATTATTGCAGAGATAGCCTACTTCACAAGCAGCACGAGCCTGATGGCAGCTGAGAAATCAGGTCAAGTTTTTTGACCTTTATGTGATGTTCAAAATTCAGTTTCATTTCCCCATGAAAAGCAATTCTTTTAGTCCACATAATTATCTATAACATATTTCTTTCAAGCAATTTTGGCTGAATTGATAAAATAAGCAAAAAACCCACAAAAAACCTTTTTCTTGATTGAGCGCTGTACTTCATAGTAGTTAATTTGCTTTCTATTGAGTGGAGATACTTAATATTTGACCAAGAAGTTAATATAATATTTGAGCAAAGAGTTAATGGTTTAGAATATTTTGTTTATGATTGTGTTAATGAGCAATAGATAAACTTTCTTATAGCAAGTACTCTAGCAAATCCATTCCTCACATAGTCCTTTGTGTGCAGGACTGGTCATAACGCCTGATATATAATATGTAATACTTGTTAAATGAACAGGTAATCATTCTGAAAAATGTTGTGTGTTCCAGGACCTGATCTTCAGGTTTGCATATCCAAAAAGCCTACATGTTGCACCAGGAAGATGGAGGAGAGATATCAGATTGCGGCTCGCCAGGATATGCAGCAGTTTCTTCAAACGTCCAGCTCTACATTAAAGTTTCTAATATCTCGAAATGCGGCTGCTTTTCAAGGTAAGTGGATCTTGAATTCTGCAACTAAGGACTGGCCGTGTTATGTAATTTGCCTAAGATAGTTACGTTGGCAAACTTGGCTGGGTTTATTTCCTTGTATTTACATAATATTCGGGTATAAAATGAGGTTTTAACTTTTTCTAGCCTTCAAAACTTGTTTCTGAGGTCATTGTGGGAGTATATACTGAGTTGGATTGGGGAAACTGAGTTGGACTGTTATGTTAGTGAAATGATCGTTGGAAATATATACTGCTATAGGGTTCTTCCAGGTCTGCCAACATTCTGACTCATAGCTGTACTTTAATATGAACAGACATAATTATTAGATTTCATGGAAAAGTTCTATAACATAAAATCTCATTGCTTTTTACTGGGTAATTATAGATTTATCTACTAAAAATTTTTTTTGGATGTCTCATAATTTTATTTTATATAAAATTTTACTTTAAATTCTGAGATACATGTGCAGAACATGCAGGTTTGTTACATAGGTATACATGTGCCATGGTGGTTTGCTGCACCCATCAGCCCGTCATCTAGGTTTTGAGCCCTGCATGCATTAGGTATTTGTCCTAATGCTCTCCCTCCCCTTGCGTCCCGACCCCGCAACAGGCCCCTGTTATTTGAAGAAATACTCTTTAAATTTCCTTGCTCTAATCTCATATGGTTTTCATAAGAACACCAGTGGAATATATCAAAGTGCAAGCAAGTCTGATAAATAGTAAAACAGGAAATGTTAATTGGATGTTTAAGGGTCATTTAAGACCAGAACTCAACCTTAATTCAAGCAATATGTTCAGATATAAAATTAATAGGTTATAAAATTACAAGGCACACTGAAAAATACATGATGTTTTTCTTATTTTAGTCATCTCTTCTGTAAAATTCCTTATTACTACAATAAAATAGCTTAATTTATTTTTCTTCTTATAAAGCATTAGCTATTCTGTATATGACTAGAATGAAAATATCTAGATTATACAGCTTTTCAAATTATTACCTTTGGTCAATGCAGAATATAACTTCTGTTAGTATTCCTTTTAAATAAGTACATTAATGTCAATCTATTTGAATAATTTGCTTGGTGTACATATATAAGTAAATCACAGAGCTCTTTAATTTTTAAAATGATAGTTATTAAATAAAATAAATGCAATAAATCAGAATAAAATTTAAGTTAAAGTGTAGTTCATGATGAATTAATGCTTTTTTGTAGAAAGCGTGAAATGTCAGATTTTAAGGTTTTATAAATTTAGCTGCTTTTTTAGATGCCTTACAAAACAACTTTATTTCTATTGTAGGATTTATTCATGTGAAATTGTTGGAGGAAAATTTACTGATATACATTTTAAACCAAGATTTGTGATTTAGCTGAGTTAGAAGCCGTTAACCATCTACAGAAAATTATATTTTCTTCCAATGAAAAGGATAGTAGGTACAATATGAAATATACATTTTGGAGGCCACGCAGTGGATATATCAGTCTGAGCAGAATGGAGTTTGTGATAGGTGGTCATATGCTTAAAAAGGTGGACTGGATTCATATTGAATCTTGGATATGTGATCAAGATAGAGCACATTACGTTCAAA
Source organism: Homo sapiens (assembly GCF_000001405.40). Lineage (NCBI taxonomy): Eukaryota > Metazoa > Chordata > Mammalia > Primates > Hominidae > Homo > Homo sapiens. The sequence continues at coordinate 91,450,513 of NC_000013.11, forward strand.
GGGTTAGGAAACCTGGAATATTTAGACTTTTAAGATGGATTGAGGCTGGTGAAAAGTTTTGGTGATACTGCTAAAAGTTTAGTGATAACCATCTCAGTAGTAGAAATATATGTTAAGGAGATCGTCTCTATTGAAGTGTCAGCTAATTTTATGTAAACCTTTGTTTTCTGTTTACTAAATTTTATCTGCTTTATTCATTAGGTTGAGTTTTGCTATTTAAAAATTAATTATAAAAAATATAGAGACATTCTTAAATATGATTTTTTAATAATAAATTATAATTTCTTCCTTAGTAGATGTCAAGTTTTATTTAAGAAGCTCAAGGGAAGACAAATTTAAAAGAAATTTGCCTAAAGGCTAACTTTTCTGGAACCAAATTCACTTATAAGAATACCCACTTTTATTGAATTGAATAAGTAGCTTTAGGCTTATTTCCTTAAAAACAAGCTTAAATATATATGCCAAAAGCAGTACAAGAGATCACTTTGCTGTACCATAAGTGAGCAGGCTACCTTATCATTAAGTAAAATGCCCTCCATCTAATTTCTGTGCAATTAAAATATCTGAAAACAATATAAAGTCTTTATAAGAAGGAAGCAGCCAACACATTTTTTTTGGGAAACGTCTACTTGAGAGAAATTTGATAGAGAAATCAATTAACTTCTCAAATGATGTTAAGTAGATGTGCTACATTTTGATTTTTTAGTTTTCAAATAGTTCATTTATATTTCCTAGTTCAACAATATTAATCTGTTTTCCGAGTTATATTGTAGGTTATAAAAGACATTGGACTGGGATGTAGTATGGTCTCTTTCCTCATGGACCTTATGTGACCCCACGGAAACATATTTTTTAGAGCAAACTTTTGAATACAGCCAGTGAGGATGATCACTTGGGTCTGGGGATTTAGCAGAGGGCACACTATTGTTAGATGAAGGCTGGGAGGTTAAAAATGCATGAGGGAGAGAGGAAGCCATGCTGACAGCTGTTGTTAGAAGAGACCTAAGATTATCCTATGTGAAACTCACACTGGGCTCTGTAGTCCACTGCCTATGTATATTCCATTTAGGCTAGAATTAGCCTCTAGGACAACTCTTCTGTTTGTTTGTTTTTTTTTTTCCCCGAGGTGGAGTCTTGTTCTGTCACCCAGGCTAGAGTGCGGTGGCATGATCTTTGCTCACTGCAACCTCTGCCTCCCAGGTTGAAGTGATTCTCTTGCCTCAGCCTCCCGAGCAGCTGGGATTACAGATGTGTGCCACCATGCCCAGCTAATTTTTGTATTTTTAGTAGAGACGGGGTTTCAACATGTTGACCAGGCTGGTCTTGAACTTCTGACCTCATGATCTACCCACCTCGCCCTCCCAAAGTGCTGGTATTACAGGTGTGAGCCACCATGCCCAGCCCACATTTTCTTAAAATGAACAAAACAGACAAAAATCTGCTTTTATTTATTATTTATTTTCATTTTTTCTATTATTTTTAATTTATGAGACAGGGTCTCACTCTGTTGCCCAGTCCAAAGTGCAATGGTGTGATCACATGGCTCACTGCAGCCTCAACTTGCCAGGCTAAAGTGTTTCTCCTACTACAGCCTCCCGAGTAGCTAGGACTACAGGCTCATGACACCTTGCCTGGCTAATTTTTGATATTTTATAGAGATAGGGTTTTGCCCTGTTGCCCCATCTGGTCTTGAACTCCTGAGCTCAACTCATCCACCTACTTTGGTCTTCCGAAGTGCTGGGATTATAGGCATAAGCCACCATGCCTGGCCAAAAATCTGTTTTTAGAAGGACTCATGATTATGACCTGGGACTTCACTATATTCTAAGGGCAATCATCCATGAAGTATTTTATAGGGCAGAAAAAGAAAACTGCTACCCTTATGTCAGTTGCTGTTCATAAATAAGTAGTGCTGTTTGCAAGGAGGAATGTTGGCTTTGTCACAGTGCAAACAATAACTGTTCTTCATTTTCAGGGGCTTAGTAATGTTCATGAATAAAGCAGAACAGCCCAGGATAATACAAGAGTTTGTTTCCCATTGGTGGTTTTGCTATAAGATTTTCTGCTTTAAAAATATTTTGGAAATATTTGTTATAAATATTTTGTTTCTTTATACATGACAGTATGGTGTGATGCATGGAGAAATAGGGGAAATTGATGGAGAGTCATCTTCTGTAAAAAACAACTCTTATCCAGCTTATATATTTTTCAATTTTTAAATCTCTGTTTAAATAAAATAATGAAATTTAGTTTTTTAATTTGTAACTATGCAAAAATTTCAACATGACTTTCAAAAAATAAAAAATAATATTTTAGAGGACACTATTGGAAGCTTGTGTTTTGTGTTAATATTTGGAAGATAAGGTTAAAATGTTATATCTTTCCTTAGAAATGAACCTTTTCTTATTTCTTTCAACTTCATTATGCTCATATATTTCTAAAATATATGGTGGATACTAAGTCTTTATTCTGGAAAATTTCCAGTTATATATATAACTGGAAATGCATTATTCTAAAAAAATGTTATTGCTAGAGTCTAAGTGACATTTAGAACAAAAATTATTTAACTTTTTTTTGATTTCATCTCTTGGCTAATTATATTTTGATTCCTTGATTATATGTTTTTGAAAGATTGGCAAGCCTGTCCTCTGGGGTTGAAATGTTAGATTCAGGAATTTATTAAAAAATGATTGCTATTTTTAATGAAATGTAGGAATATGCTTGAAATTAAATATATTTAAAAAGCAGGTGAATTGAGAATATGAATATAACTTACGGATTTTTATCCTTTATGCTAACAGATACTGGTTACTGTAAAGTGTATAGCTATCGTATAGCTGCTACTGTAAAACTAAAGTATATATGTATATATATAGCAAAAGACACAGGATATAGTTAATATTCAAATATATTAATGAATATGAAGACAAATAGATTTATATAAATGTTACAATATCAAGCATAGAGCACATTAATCTTATTTAAGTCACTTCAGCTATACTTTACAGAAATGGACTATATTTAAAATTTTTCCTAGGAAGAATAAAGGCGTATTGCTATTTTTAACATTAAGAATTACTTGATCAAGATTAAGAGAACAGGCAGCCTAGGCTGGTAGTGTTGGGGAGACTTATTTCTATGTGTAGCACTGAGAGCAGATATACAGCAAATGTAAGTAAATTAACTATATGAATAAAGGAATGAATGAATGAATGGTACTTAGCAAGAAAATGGTTCAGAAATAAAATGAGAGATTCATTTCCTCTCTCCTCCCTCCCTCCTCCTTCTTCCTTTCTTTTATTCCTCTGTTGATGCATTTAATATATCTTTTGAGCACCTACTGGGTGCCAGCATCATTAGGTACTTAGATTGTACACAGTGTCAAAATGTTAAATCCATTATACTTTTACTGGATCATTCAGACTCCTAATATGCCGACATATTTATTAGTTTATTAATTTCTAAACTATAAAGGGGCACATGATAGTGTTTATGTCAGTGGCATGCTGAATGGGATTGCATTCTTTTCCTTGTTCAGTTTTAGGCAGTGCATGGTTTAGTGTGTTATCTAATACAGCAGCTATCAGTGCAATTGGTCTTTATTCAACTGTCCTTTATCTCTGCAATGTTAAAAATTGTTTCTTTTGAATCGGCGTCAACAGGCTTATATTAATTATGAGAAACCAAGCAATTTTCCTGTTCTAGATAAAAGTTGCAAGAGCTTAAATTACTTTTCAGCTGGAAATAAAGCTTGCTTCATATGAAATAATATCAATAGTAGAAAAATATTAACTATAGATCTAAGATCAGGTTTACTTTTCCAAGTTTCTTTTTTAAACTCTAAGAAGTAAACTTTTAGTTGTTTTAATTCTGACAGATGATAGTTATGATAATATCACCTATGGCTATGGTAATCTCATCTTGCAAGCACAGTAATTTGCTTATAGCTGGTGAAACAGTTCTTGATTTTATATTAAATACACTTTCAGTTAAATCTTTTCAATGTAAGAACTGTACATCTATTGGCTAGATGAATTGACATTTAATCAGATATTTATCATTTTGCTATTTGTTTTTAATTTTTGAAACTCAGAGCAGATACTCAGCAAATATAATTAAATGAACTGCATGAATAAATGAATGATACTTAGCAAGAAGACTTGTGAAATAAAACAAGAGATTCTCTCTCTCCTTCCCTCCTTTCTTCTTCCCTAACAGTAGCTAGTATCTGTTAGCATAAAGGAAGAAAATACATAAATTATATTTATATTCTCATTCTAGATTCACCTGCTTTTTAAAATAAGATATTCAATTTCTCAAACCCCTGGGCTCAAACTCTGTTGCTCAAATAATCCTCCAACCTCAGCCTCCTGAGCTGGGACTACAGCCATGCTTATATTCATTTAATCTTATGCAGAGGGAATCATAGAAATGACTCTTGAACGCTACTTATGTGTTGAGTAAAGGACAGGACATTTGGGAGATTACAACTAGTTATGTTTTTGAGATTAATCTGTGTGTCTATCTATCCATCCCTTTTATCCATTTAATTTGATTTATAAAATTCATTTTTATAAATATGTGACGTTTATTCATTCTTCTGTTGATGGATATTTTAATAATTTGTAACCTATTTTTGCACTTAAAATGTTGCAGTGAACATTCTTGATATCTCCGTGAGTGCTTGTTTCTCCAGGGTTCACACATAGAAGCACAATTGTGGTTTATAGGCTATGCACTTGTTTACTTTACTAGATATTTACTAAAATTGCTCTTCTAAGTAGCAAAACCAATTGAAACTCACTCTAGTGGTTTGTGTGCATTGTCATATTTTCACATTTTTCCTAACACTTAAGTATTGTCAGAATTTTAAAAGTTTTACTGAACTGATAATGATGTTGTATCTTGTTTTCTAAATGTGTGGTCCTCTCTGATTATTAGGGTGTCTGCATATCACTTCACATGCAGTTCTTTATTTTGTATTTTATTTATTTTCCCTTATGAATAAATCATACCAACATGTGTACACACTTAGAGGATGTATACCATGTTGTATTTTGTATGTATTTAAAATTTCTGTCCTAGGTACAGATATCACATTGGATTTCTACATCTTAAAGTTTTAACTAAAGTAATTGGAATTTCTTTTTATGTGCTATAGAAATCCAAGCTCCCCACGAAGTTTCTGCACATCCCAAGGCTTGCAGTCACATAGTCACTCCTACCTCTGCTCCCTTGCTTTTAAAAAATTTGCTGTTGTCTGCCTCTTTCCTGTCATATTAGCTGTATATGATTTTTTTCTCAATTTCCAGTTCCCAAAACACACACACATTATATACATGCAACCCACTCATGATGTATGTGTAAAATAACTTTTATGAAATGATGATTATAGAGGAAGACAAAGTCTAAAGACCACATACTTTCAATAATTTCAAATTGAATGTTGATTTCTATTTTTGCAAGTCTTTTTCAGCCCTCCAACATCAATCCATGAAGCCGCCATTCTCAGCTCATTCTCTCTGGCCCAGAGATCTCCCATTCTTGTGTGATACTCTCCTCTCCTCCCCAGATAGTGAGATAATGTATCTTCCAGTCTCTTACATTTATTATATAAGCAGAGAAATATTAAATACCCACCGCAGGGCTCTGAGGATGAATGTAAACTGAATGCTTTTTGATCAGCCTGTTGTCTGTTAGATATTTTGGGAGTAACAATTTTTCCAAACCAAACATACAAAGTATGGTGATCCTGTATAAGGTATAGACAAAGTGTATAATCTTTTTTTTTAGTATTAGTTAAATTGAGTTCATTTTATATTTCCAAATGTTAACTTTTTTTTTTCTTTTTGCAAAATGTTAACTTTTGCAATCCATGGAAAGAAATAAACAATTATTAGCTTCTTTTAAAAGAGAACCAATTTATCTTAGGAATGTTTGCTTTTAAAAGCAATAATAATCTGCAAAGTTAATAATTTTTTTAAGATCCAAAATATATTGTATTTAAATGATTTTTTATTTCTTATACTAAATATTTTAGGAAAAAGTAAAATCAGCTTAATTAAAATAGCATTTTTCTAATTAATGTGTGAAAATATATATCAAGGGAAAATTGTAATGTAAGCATTGTGTGGTATGACACTCATTTTGTAATTCAATATTTATGAATTCTTTAAAAAAATTTTTACCCCGTGGAACAAACTTAAAAATTATATTGATAATGATATATAAAACTTGCATGCTGTAAAAAGTAAAATTCACGTGGGTGTTTTGTTTTGTTTTCTAGTTTAGCCCTGTGCACTTAGCATATGAATATGGGATTTTTTTTTTTTTTTGCCAATGGTATCAACTAACATATTTTGCAAACACGTGTCATGGAATTATTATTTCTATGCAGTAAAATGTTTTAATATTGAAAGTAGGGTATTTCCCTATTTATAAGAGGCTGGTGGAAAGACAAAGACTGAGGGAGCATTTGAATACATTTAAGTCTATTTTATGTGAAGAACAAAGTTACAGTAAAATTGCGTAATAATTTGATCACAAATTATTACTATCCTATTACTATTATAAATTCTATTAACAAATTTTGTTAAAATGTATCTTGATGTATTACATTACTTGCCAGCTTTTTTGATAGGGCTTTTTTCATAGCTATTTTTGTATCAAAATATTTAGTTTTTGGAAGCATGGCTTACCCTGTTAAATATCCAATGTAACTAATTAGTTTAAAAAATAACATTTTCAGTATTTTGAGGTCTTATGGTTTGTTTTTTCAAGACCCTACAAAATTTTATCTATGATGGTTAGTGACCACATTAATTAGTTTTACAGTAAAGATAAAATAATGATACTATAAAAAATATCTAAGACGTTATTTTAAAACTCAATAATGTATCTATTTTTACCTTTTACTTTATCATGAGATGTTAATTTGCATTTGTCATGGTTATTATGTGGCATATAGCACATGACAGCATCTTGTTCTTCCTTCTGCCTGTTGTCAGAACACTCAATTTTTGGGGTGACCACACTCAATAGCCATGTGCATAGGGACAATGCACCCTGCCGCAGCACAGGGGATGACATGAAATGGAAGTGCGTATGTAGTTTGAAATAGTTTTTGTGGGAAATAGAAAAGGTAATTAACCAAAAACCAGGTAGAAGGTTAACATTGGAGACATGTAATTAATAGTAAAACTTGTATCTATGATGGTGTGACTGCTTTCGTTTTCATCCTTTCCTAGTGCCTAGGGAGAAAGTACAAGTAGAGGAGCACTGACACGTGGTTGAGCAGGTACAGTGGAAGGCTGAAGGTGGTAGGAGGTCCATTCATCCATCCAACAATCATGGGGCAGCCTGAATGTGCCAGCACTGTTTAAAGTGCTTGGATGCATGGGTGAATGAAACAAAGATCCCTGTCTTGATAGTTCCCATTTCAGCCAGGAAAGATAGAAAATAAACAAACATAATAACAGATACAAGTTAGGATGTATTAAATGTTTAGAAAAATATATAGAGCAGAGTGAGGGGGATGGAAATACTAGAGGGCTGCAATTTTAAATTGGATAATCAGGGAAGAAGTGGCATTTCAGCAAAAATTTGAAGAGAGTGAAGGAGTTAGTCATGTGGATACCTGGGAGAAACACATTCCAGGACCAGGAAATAGCTGTAAAGTAGAGGTGGGCCTCAGCTGTCAGAGGAATAGCAGCAAGGAGGCAGCATGTGTGGGGCATACGGAGGGTGATCGGAAAGGATATCACCGAGGCCAGGTCGTCTGGGGCCTGTTAGGCATTTATTCTGAAACAGGAGTTTTTATGATAGGTGTGATTTGATTGTAAAATAATCACTGTCTTCCCACAGCCAACATTATATTGAATGGGGAAAACTTGAAAACATTCCCCGCCAAGAGCTGGAACAAGACAAGGATGCCCACTTTCACCACTTCTAATCAATGTAGATATACAAATGATGAACAAACATGAAAACATGCTCAACATCACGAATTATCGGGAAATGCAAATCAAAACCACAGTGTAATACCACTTTACTCCTGCAAGAATGGCGATAATTAAAAAATAAAAAAAAATAGATGTTGGCATGGATGCGGTGAAAAGGGGGCACTTTTACACTACTGGTGGGAATGTAAACTACCCTGATTACATTGATCCAGCAATCCCACTACTGGATATCTATCCAGAGGAAAAGAAGTCATTATATGAAAAAGACACTTGCACACATGTGTTTATAGCAGCACAATTTGCAATTGCAAAAATATGGAAGCAGCCCAAATGTCCATCAATCAATGAGAGGGTAAAGAAAATGTGGTGTATATGCATGTATATACCATGGAATATGACTCATCTATAAAAAGGTACAAAATAATGGCATTTGCAACAACCTAGATGGAATTGGAGACCATTTTTCTAAGTAAAGTAACTCAGGAATCAAAAACCAAACATCGTATGTTCTCACTGATAAGTGGGAGCTAAGCTATGAGGATGCAAAGACATAAGAATGATACAATGGACTTTGGGGACTCGTGAGGAAGGGTGGGAGGGGGGTGAGGGATAAAAGACTACACTGGGTACAGTGCACACTGCTTGGGTGATGGGTGCACCAAAATTTCAGAAGTCACCGCTAAAGAACTTATCCATGTAACCAAACTCCTCCACCTGTACCCCAAAAACCTATTGAAATTAAAAAAAAGAAAAGAAGGTTGGAGTGAGCCATGATTGCACCACTATACTCCAGCTTGGGAGACAGAGCAAGACCCTGTCTTAAAAAATAATAAAATGAAATAAAAAATAAAATAAGCACTCTATCTAGTTGTCTAATCTATCATAGCCTACAGAAAAGAGGCACCGTGGTGACTTGGGTGTTTGCAGTGGAGGTGGCAAGATGTGGTCAGCTTCTATATCTCTTATGATCCTTAGTGGGCCCTGGACATAGTAAGAAAAGAATTGAAGCCCAGGGCATCCTGATAATGGTAAAATATATCAGGGTTGCATCAGTGATGTAGGTGCCTGGAGGGTAGTGGATTAAAGAAGCCCAGGCTGTAGGAGGGGCTTCCACATGGACTTGAGTCTCCAAGTCTGTTGGTAGAGTTGGAGTGAGACAAACTGTGACCTGTTTCTCCAGAGTTCTCAAAGAAAGGAGGAAATTGGTGGTGTGACAGAGACATCCAGTGGAGGCTAAGCTTATACAGGGTAGAAGAGTAATTAATGGTCTTGGAAGAGCCAGGAGATTTCCAGTGTCCCTCTAACTGTCTGGCTCTGTAAAGTGATAGACATATTTCTGTAATAAAATATATCTAGATATGAAAATACAATTGATTTTGATATAATTCACAATTCTACACAACAAAACATATTGCCAATATTTAGCATAATTTAAGAGTAAAGGGCATTCAAGAAATAATGCAAATAAATAAATCAACCTGAGTTAAATTTATAACAAACTTTGAAGGGGGAATATGTATAATGCGATAGCATTGTATAAAGTTATATGATGAAAATCATGAGTTTGTATATGAGAAATTTGTTTTCACTTTATAAAATATACAACATGCTTATGTAAAAATTGAAAATAGAATTATTTATTAGTCAATAACCCAGTTAGCAAGTAAAGTTCTATGGTGAACTTAAGACTCTTGGGACTCAATTTTGAAGTCTTAGTGGTAATTCTCATAATAGGAACACATTTGCTCTTCTTATATGAATCAAATTCTTTTAACCAAACAATATTAATAGTTATCAATCATTTAAATAATATCTCTTTGTTGTCTTTTTTTTTTTTGGTGGGGGGACAGAGTCTTACTTGTTGCCCAGCCTGGAGTACAGTGGCGTGGTCTTAGCTCACTGCAACCTCCACTTCCTGGGTTCAAGCAATTCTCATGCCTCAGCCTCCTGAGTAGCTGGGATTATAGGTGTATGCCACCACACCCGGCTAATTTATTTTTGTGTTTTTAGTAGAGACAGGGTTTCACCATGTTGGCTAGGCTGGTTTCGAACTCCTGGCCTCAAGTGATCCACCCACCTCAGCCTCCCAAAGTGCTGGGATTACAGGCATGAGCCACCATGCTGGGCTGATATATTTTTATTATATTATTTCTTATCTAATTAGAAATATTTGCAGTTTGTGTAAGTGACATTACTGTCAAATTTAAAATTATAAAATGGCATAATAACTTATTGTAAACTATGAAACATAGTTTATTAAAAATGTAGAAGTGTTCTTAATATTTCAGCTTTTTTTTTTCTATAGGCTTGGGGGAATATCAGATTAAGATGAAAATATTACACCATCATCCATAATATTGATTTGGTAAAAGGATAAGATAAAATGAAAAATAAGATACCTTTCTTTCCTCAGACAAATAGAGGACTTAAATTTTACAACCATTTCTCAATGTAGCTGTTCATGCTGGGAAATTACCCATGCATATCTTTATGCTTTTATCATAAAATATATGTAGCAATAAATGTGGTATAGATGCTATAGCTTTTATGCAGAAGGCAAAGGGCTTGAAATGGCATCTCAAGACCCAGAGAGTGAGAACAGTAAATAAAGGGTAATTGTTGGATAGCTGTGCTGAGCTCATTTTTTTCCAGGGTAATGCTGCCTATGGGCTAACTTTTGTATAAACAAAGATAATCGAACTTTTGCACCTTAAAGGATATTGTTTTCTTGTACTCTTTATTTGACTTCATTCCCTCAGGGCATAGACTTAACTTGAATGTTAACTTAGGAAACATATTCAATATTATTTTCCTTAAGTAGAAATAAATTGAAGATGCTTTGTAGTAGAACAAACATTGGTCTTTGGTGTGGGAAACTGATTTTGTGATAGGATAGGGAATATGCCTAAGGATTTAAGAACAAGGGTCTAGAGTTAAAGGGTCTGGGTTTGGATCTGGTCTCAAGACTTGCCATCTGGGCCTCAGTTTTCCTTGCTTGTATAATGGGATAACAATAGTAACTTCTTCTAGCTGGACCTCAATATCCTTGCTTGTAGAATGGAACGATAATAGTACCTTCTTCTAGGCTACAATTAATGAGGATTAATTGAGGTAGTCCCTGTAAAGTACTTGGTTTGGTGCCTCGTACATAATGAACACTCAACATATATTAGCTATTATTTATTTATTTATGGAGGATATTTTTTCCTCAATATTTGATAGGCAGTAAAACATTTCATGGCAGAAGTTGTCTGATAGCTTTTCTTTAAGCGTGTTATGGCAAATGGTATGAAGCCAATTGTCACATTATAAGAAGTGCTGCAGGGCCCAGGCAGAAGAAGGGTGTTGGTGGTCCAAACTCCTAGATCCCTTCTTGGATTACTGTGCCTGATGGGGCTGCCAAGAGTCACATTGTGAGTGCTTAGGATTATGGGCAAAAATACCCTCTAAATTCGCAAAGACCAGCCATTGAGAACAATTATTTGATGAACAATAATAATTGGTGCATTTTTAAAGCAGACTTTTCTGCTGCCCACTGGTAATAAAATGAAATTTCAGATTGTATTAAGTGGTATTAAATTGCTATGTTTTGACTCTCACTGTAATGGAAACCAACGTGAATACTAAAATCTAAGGTTTAACTAACAGACTCATGCAGAGGTACAGAGTCCATGAGAAATTATTCAATGACTGGCTTAACAAACGCCGTGGTCTTATTAGTGTCCTTCTCCAAATGAGAATATATAGAAGAGGCTTTAAAGTTTTGACGTCACTTATTCATTCTGATCACATTTGGGGGTGTTTGTAGTTTATGTTGGTATATGTCTTCCTAAAGCTAAGCTTTTTGATTATGCTTTGTGAGTTATTAGATAGTATCATTAACTTCAAATTAGTCCTTTTCAAAACAGCACAGAATAAATACATGCAGAGCCCTCAGAATAATGTGAGAGGTTTTGTGCATGATAGAATACGGCATAAAATTTAAGATGTCACTGAATTACTGTGAAGGGCAATTTTTATTTTGGTTTAAATGTTGCTAGTCATAGTTTCATAAAATTATCTATTGGATAACTACATTTCCTACCCGCTGAAAATGTGAAATATCGTTGCGTATCTGTAAGACATTGTAGAGGGTTTCCTCTTTACATAAGGAAAGCTAGTGTAGAAGGAGGTGGGCCCTTAAAGTCTCTGGAAAGTATAATTTGGGAATCCTCTTCTCAAATCATACTTAGGACGGGTGGGTCAAAAGTGTCCATTGGTTCAAGAAGGAATGATAAATGCTGTGTTCACATTCTGATTTCTGATGTGCTTACATACTAGCTATAGTCCCAGGGCAATGCTTTAGGATGATCTAGGCCAACTGCTTTATTTTTATTATAAACCTTCAAAGTAGACTTAAATTATCTATGTATCTGGCAACTTCTACTCAATATATTTAGTATATTTTAATGAAATTATATATTTTGAATGCAGATTATATTAAAGAATATATTTAATGATTGGTACCACTGTTCTAGAAAGCAATTTGACAGCACTAGGTTAAATATGTATTTTCTACTGGTTATATACAGTCACCTTTGATATCTGGCAGTGGGGGGATTTGTTCCAGGACCCCCTTGAATACCCAAATCCACAGAAGCTCAGGCCCCCCATATAAAATGGCATAGTATTTGCATATAACCTACTCAAATCCTCCCGTATACTTTAAATCATCTCTAGATTACTTAAAATACTTAATGCAACACCTCTACATCACTTCATTTGCATGGTTTCAACATAGTATTTGGTGTGTGGCAAATTCAAGTTTTGCTTTCTGGAGCTTTGTGGAATTCTTTTTTTCTGAATATTTTCAGTACATGGTTGGTTGAATCCATGGGTGCACAACCCATAGATACAAAAAGCCAACTGTATATTGGAAAATTTTTAAGGAGACTATAAAGATACACGTCCAAGCATGTTAATTGTAGTGTTTGTTCAAGTCAAGCTTTTTCTAAAATTTATGTGGAAAGGCAGAGGACCTAGAATAGCTGAAACAATTTTGAAAAAGAAGTGGGAAGAATCACTTTACCTAATAATAAGGCTATACAGCTATAGTAATTAAACATGTGGTATTGACGAAGGGATAGACACGTAGAACAGATTAGAGAACCCACAACAGACCTACACAAATATGCCTGATTTTGACATAGGTACAAAGGCTATTCAATGGAGAAAGAATATCCTTTTCAACAAACTGTGTTGAGAAATTGAATATTCATAGGGGAAACCTAAACTTTGTACATTATACAAAAATGAACCCAAAATAGATCATATAGTTTATGTAAAACTGTGAAACTTTTAGAAAAGAAAATTGAAGAATCTTAGGGACCTAGGTCTAGAAGAACAGTTCTTAGATTAGACAACAAGAACACCCATGTTTCATAAAAGGGAAAATTGGGCCTTGTGAAAATTACAAACCATGTTCAGAGAAAGGTTAAGAGAATGAAAACACTGTAAGCAAATAATTGCAAACTGCATATGTGATGAAGTACTTGTATCTAGAATATATTAAAAATTCAACAGTTAAAAAAACCCAGTTTAAGTAGAAAATGAACAAAATATATGAATAGACATTTTACAGAAGGGGTATGCAGATGACAACTAAGTACATGAAAAGATATGCAACATCTAGCTTTCCTGGAAATATAATTCAAAGCTATAATGAGATATCACTACACCCTATCAAGTATGGTGAAAATGAAAATAGTAATAACACCAATTGTTGACAAGGATGTAGAGAAACTGGATCACTGAGGCACTGTTCATGGTAATATAAAATGGCACAGTCTGGAAAACAGTTGGCAGTTTCTATTAAAATTAAACCTGCACTTATTGTATTGTCCAATAAATGCACGCTTGGACATTTATTCAGAGAAATGAAGTATTATGTTCATGCATAGAACTATACACGAATGTTCATAGCAGCTTTATTTGTAGTAGCCCCAAACAGGAAATTAATGTGCTTCAACAGGTGAATGGATAAACAAATTGTGTTATGTCCATATCGTGGAATATGACTCAGCAATAAAAAGGAATGAACTATTGATACATGCAAACAATTGGATGGACTTTAATGGAATTATGCTGATTAAAAATATAACATTCTTGAAATAACAAAATAACAGAGATGGAGAAAGATAAGTTGTGGTTCCCTGGGGTTAGGGACGGGAAGAGGGAAAGGTGGACGTGTCTATAAAGGGATAGTATGAGGGAGCTTTGTGGCAATGGAACAGTTCTGTGTCTTGATAGTGGTGATGGTTACATGAAGCTACATGTCATAAAATTGCATAGCACTACACACACACAACACACACACACAAATGCATACAAAATCTGAGTAAGCTCTGTAGATTCTACCAATGTCAGTTTCCTGGTTTTGATACTGTACTATAGTTATACAAGATGCTTCCCCTGGGGGAGGCTGAGTAAAGGGTGCAAGGGACTTCTCTGTACATTTTTTTTTCTTTGCAGCATCATCTGAATCTATATCGTTTCAAAACAAAAAGAAATATAAGCTGAATAATTGCTCTTGGGACATATTCACTTACCTTAATCAATTTTTAAACTAGACCTGTCTCAGCTCTCAAGTTACTGGTATTTTTCTTAACAATATATTTTTTCAACAGTCTTACTTTTTAAATTGTCTATAATCTTCTTGCTTTCTTGATCTCATTCACACTCACTTGCTCTTCATCTTTAATGTCATATTTATTGTAGGGGCAATTAACATACAGTAAAATGCATACTTTTTAGGTGGGCCTTCTGTGAATTTTGACAAATGTTATTTAGTCATGCAATGACCACCACAATTAGAGAATATTTTCCTCACCCCGAATAGTTACCCTAGATCTTTGTCTCTTTAATTTTGCCTTTTCCAGAATGTTATGTAAATGGAATCATACATCATGTAGCCTTCTGTGTCTGGCTTCTTCCACTTAAGTACTACAGTTTTTTTTTCATCTAATCGCAAATTGGAGGTGCTGCATTTTTCTTGTGTTGTGTTGTTGTGAATACATTTGAAATTGTTGACACCTTCAGTTGACATTTCTCTGTAGACTATAATATAGTTTGAAAAAGATTTTCTTTGTAACTCTTGTATTTTGTAAGCTCTGGGCTAATTCCATTTAATTGGTGGTTTTAAAAGTCTAATACTTTTGTATTGAAATGTCAAAATATTTCACCCCAATTTTCACAAGTAGTATCTTTTCTGCCTTTCTTCAGAGTACTTATCTTTAACTTTTTTTCCTCAAAGGGAAAACTTATTAAATAAGTTATCTCTGTGATTCTTTTGAATATTTTACCCAATTTAAATGCTGCAAATCATTGATCTTCTCAATTCCAGTCCATTCTAGTAGAAAGCATAAATTTATTTAAATAAAAATAACAGCTTCATCTAAAGATTCTTCCCACAAGTTGAATTAATCCAAATCAAACTTAAATTATGAACACTGAGATCTCACTATTTAATTTACTCAGCTCCTCTATTGCTTTTAGTAGGGACTGAACTGTGATGGGTCCCCCACCAGGTTACTTAAGGGTGTATGTCCACTGCCTGAACCCTGAAGGCCAGGCCACGAGCCAAGGCCATGGTGCCCAGTCAAGGAGCAGATGTCCCTGAGAACTCAAACATCCCATAGAGTACCTGAGAACCTACCAAGGGAAACAGTTCCATCACACACACACAGCAGGCAAAGAGCCAGAAAATTAGCGTAAAAGTGCTTAGGAATAGGAGGTGATGTGGGTCTCTACAGCTTCCCTGCTGCCACCCAGGAGTGCGCTGTATGTAAGTCCTATTAAACTCATCTACTCTCCAAGGGGGACTTGTCCAAGTCATTCTTTGGCCTCTCAGCACCTTCCTAGTTAGGGGGCAGGGGGACGTTATGGTCCCAAGTTTTTTTTGTGACAGGAACAAACTTTACGTTTTTATTTTTGTTTCAACTGCTGTTCTCAAGAATTGAAAGAGTATATGTTAAAAGTTTTAAAACTGAGGTTTAATTGGTGCTGTTTTATTAAATATTTTGACTTAGGATTCCAGGTCATTTCTTCTAGCTGACCAGGAATGATCAGGGTGGTGAGTTAATATATTTTAATAGTCTGGGTGAGAGAAAAGACAAGGAAGTGAGTTTTGGTAGTGATGATAGAGAGCAGAGGAGAAAGATTCTAAGTATATTGAGAAGGAAAATTTCAGAGGACTAGGTAACTGGTGATGGAGTGGGACTGGGGAGAGGGAGGAACCTAGGATCAACATGAGTCTTGCAAGAGAGTACTTTCAGGGACTGATTTACAATGTCCTCATTTTCCTTCTATCTTAGTTTTAACGAAGTTCTTTTGAAAATTCTATTCAACTCTAAGACTGTGGGTATACTACTATGGAGAGCACACACATTCCTTCATCAGTGTTTATTTAGTATATATTGAATGCTGGGCACTGTACCATTTTCAGGCAGTCCCCGCTTTGCACAATTTTGGGTTAATTGAAATGCATCCAAATCTGAACCGGGTCCTTGCTTTACACGCCTGCATTGATCTTAGTTACCAGACAACTGTGCAGTATGAGGACTGCCAGTATTTCATCTAGAGCTAGGACTGGAAATTATGACTGCTTTTAAGAAGTTTAAAATCTATTGTGGAAAATAGACAAATGCTTACAATTCAATGTGCTTTGCTATGATGGAGTTAAGATGTCACAGAGAAGACATCTGATTTGAATTATTGGGGAAGAAAGTTGGAAAAAAGTCCTGAAAACGGTGACATTAGGTGAAAAACAATAGTCAGGTGATCCCTGTCACCACAGAGGGAGAAAGGGTCTGGAGAGCTAAGTGATCCACGATTCCTCCACCAAGGCCACAGCCAAGTGTGGGGTGAGGATGGTTGGGAAGTTAGCTTGGAGACATGCAATTCCTTGCGATTAATTTAATTTCCTGAGAATCTGTGCTCATATCCTTTCTCATTCCTCATTTTGCTTTCTTTTCTCATTCTTATGCTTTCCTTCCCTTCTTATGCTCTCAGTTCTCTGCCCCTTTCTCTTTTCTCTGCTTTCCTCTCACTGTCTTAATTTGGGTTTTTGTCTATGTTGATGCTGTTTTTCCAAGAACATTAGTTCAGATTTAGTTATCCTTTATCCTTTTGTTTTTAGTAACATCTGTTTAAATTTTCAAAACATTAAAACCATTTTTAAAAAACAATGCTACATTTAAAAATTTTATTTCACTTTTCTGATTTATTAAGAGGAATTAATTTTTGACCTTTTAAGTTGTCTTCTTGGCAATGAAAGTGTTTTAGGGAATAATTTTTCCTTTGATTATAGCTTCACTGTATTGCATATGTTTTATTATGAAGTGTTATTTTCATTTTGTTTTAGTTTGCAATTTTACTTTGCTTTTATTCTTTGAGATTATCTAGACAGGTTTTGGTCAGGATTGGCCAGGTTTACTGCAGTTATGTTGACCCCAGAATATCGCTGGCTCACATCCATGGAGAAGATTAAGTTCTTTATGCATAGGTGGTATCGCTTCCTGCCCAGGCTGAAGGAGCAGCCCTATCTGAGATGTTTGGCTTTAGTGAAAGAGAGAAAGTCAGCAGGAAAGATGGTCCTGGTCCCAGTGCCTCTGCTTGGCAGCTGTGCATGTTGCTTCCACTTACACTTCCTCTGCCAATGCAAGTTCTGTGGCCATGCCTCATATTGAGATATGGTGCTCTCTAATATTCACAGCGGAACATAGATGTTCTCCCTGTAGAAGTATTCAAGAGCACCATGTCTCAGTATGGTACCCTAAAGAATGTTGGTATGGGTTGAATTTTGTGTCCCCACCCTGCCAAAGATATGCTGGACTCTTCACCTCCAGTACTTCATAATGTAACCTTATTTGGCAATAAGGTCTTTGCAGAGGTAATCAAGTTAAAATGAGGTCATTAGAGTGGGCCCACTCCAATGTGATTGGTGGCCTTATATAAAAGAGGAATTTGAACGTAGAGAAATATGTACAGAGGAAAGATGATATGAGGACAGAGGAATGCCATCTTCAAGTCAGGGGTTGCCTGAGGTTACCGGAAGTGAGGTGAGTCACCTGGAACAGTTCTCCTTCACAGCCTTCAGAAGAAACTAACTCTGCTTACAGCTTGATCTTAGACCTCTGGCCTCCAGAACTGTGAATCCATAAATTTCTCTTGTTTAAGCCCCTTAGGTTGTAGGGCTTTGTAACAGCAGCCCCAGGAAACCAATACAAATGTGTTTAAAATTATATGCTTGGTCTGATTAGTTTTATGTATTTATAATTTTGTTATATTTTTTATTAGAAAATTTAGCCAATAAAATCTTTACTATTCAATATTTAAGTTTTCTTCGTAGCTAAGATAATGGTCTTTTTTTTTTTTTTTTTAAATGAGACAGGGTTTCATTCTGTTACTCAGGCTGGATTACAGTGATGAGATCACAGCTCACTGTAGCCTTGACCTCCAGGACTCAAGCCATCCTCCCACCTCAGCCTCCTGAGTAGCTGAGACTACAGGCATGCACCACCATGCCTGGCCAATTTTCTTTGTCTCGTCTTGTCTCTTGTCTCTTCTCTCTTTTCTTTTTATTCTCTTCTCTCTCTTCCTTTTCTTTCTTTTTTTGAGACATAGTCTTGCTGTGTTGCCCAGGCTGGAGTGCAGTGGCATGATCTCGGCTCACTGCAATCTCTGCCTCCCGCATTCAAGTGATTCTCATGCCTCAGCCTCCTGAGTAGCCGGGATTACAGACATGCACCACCATGTCCAGCTCATTTTTGTATTTTTGGTAGAGATGGGGTTTTATTGTTTTGGCTGGGCTAGTGTCGAACTTCTGGCCTCAAGTGATCCACATGCTTTGGCCTTCCAAAGTGTTGAGATTACAGGCGTGAGTCGCTGCACCTGGCCTAATTTTCTTTTTAATTTTTTTCTCTTTTTTTTTGGGTAAAGACAGAGTCTTCCTATGATATTGCCCAGGCTGGTCTTGAACTCTTGAGCACCAGGGATTCTCCCACCTCAGCCTCCTAAGTGCTAGTCTTACAGGTGTGAGCCACTATGCCTGGTCAATCATATAAGTTTCAAAAATTTGTTTAAAATGGGAAATTCTCTACTTTAAAAATTCCACTTTAATTTCAAAGGTTATATATTTTTTCTATTCAGTAATTTAAAAACATACTCTCTTCTGATTTACTGCACTCAGAATTTTGTAAACCTTTGTTATATAAAAATTCAGATTCATCTTTTTGAAAAAAAATACCTGGCTGGATGGTGGCTCATGCCTGTAATCCCAGCACTTTGGGAGGCCGAGGTGGGTGGATCACGTGATGTCAGGTGTTTGAGACCAGCCTGGCCAACATGATGAAACCACGTCTCTACTAAAAATACAAAAATTAGCTGGGCAGGGTGGCGTGTGCCTGTAATTCCAGCTTCTCAGGAGGCTGAGGCACGAGAATCACTTGAAACTGGAGGCAGAGGTTGCAGTGAGCTGAGATCACGCTATTGCACTCCAGCCTGGGTGACAGAGTGAGATCCTGTCTCAAAACAACAATAACAACAACAAACCCTCCCCACTCCCACCACAGGTTTTGAAGTATGCCTTTGTGTGAGTTTTGTCACTTGTTGTATTAAGTTGCAGCAGCCAGAACAATTAAAAGCATAGTAGCTTGGTTATGTCATGTCTTCTTTTCCTCCTCATTTCTTATTTTGTTAAACATTTTCCTTTGTATTTCTTATCCTATAAGTGAAGCAGCACAGAGATTTTCTTCCTTCAGACAGCTCTCTACAAGGCCTGTCTGTGAAATTTCTCCATCTCTGTCAAACGTCCTTTCAAAGGTTAGAAAAAAGTGCTCATAACCACTGAGATTTTCCTTTTCTTACAAATGGGGATTAGACTGATATCAGTATCACAGTTCAGCTGGGAAAGGTGATGGGTAAAAAAAATTGGAAGTGGGAAGCGAGATGGAAAGTGTAGATTACATGCTGATTTCTTTTCAGTGAAAATTTTTATGGCATCGGAGCGCATATTGGATTTAGGTGTATGATTTGTGACCCATTGAAGTCATCTGCATTATTCTGAATCATGCAAATATTTTGTGATGTGATTTTGAATCAGGTAAGAGAGTAGTTCTAGCTTATGTGTGTTTTTCCCTTTTTATCTCAGGCACCATAACCTTGATACTATTTTAACTTACCTGTTTATACATGTAAAAGTGTCTGAAGTAATTAATATAACCAATTTTGTGTCTTTAAGATTAGCTGCTTGCAAACAGCAAGCAAGCCTCTGTAAGAAACTGGAGCGAGTCTTTCCAGTTGGACTATATTAGAATTCCATCTACATTTTAATTTGGTTCCTGCTGTGTGGATATATTAGACTGAATCTATTACCTGGCTCAATGGTCCTTTCAGACAATTTCCCTTTCTCATTCTGATTTTATTGTAAGTGATCATCAACATACTGTTGAAGTCTGACAATCCAATTTTGATCACTTCCATGAAGTGCTGATTACGAAGACCTTATGTTAAAAAAAACAAACAACCCCCCAAACAAGAACCGATGGAGTATTGTGATATTTAATAGACTATCTTTTGGTTAAAGGTGCCGGTTATGGAGTGTTGTGTAAGACTCCATTCTTGGACACTTCTGTACTGATTCTTCCTTTGGGTGTTGTGCAGAAGAAAATTCTGTAACAGTCACCCCCTTGGGGCAGGACCTGCTTTTACATAAAACATTCCTGCTGTATGTTTAATGCCACTTTGAGTTGCCTCTTTTCCTGGTGATCATGAACCACCTGCTGTTTTTTTTTTCATTTGGAGATAATGTTTCTCTGAGAATTTACTATAATTTCAGCTTTAAATATAGTCCTTTCATGCATTTAATACATTTAATCCTTACTATGAAACAGATTAATGGACCTTTGGTATAAAGCTTAGGAACATTGATTTAGTTCACTCTGGTTTATTTAACGGTGTTGCGATTGTACTGGGATATACTTTTTCAGGACATGTCTAGAAGTTAGAGAGGTGCTGTCAGATGGTAATAGCATGGTATTTCATTTTCTCATGCTGCCCAACAGTTTGATGAAGAGCACCATTAGAAAGAAATAAATACTAGTTATTCATTCTATTTGAAGCTTGATGTTCTCTTCCTCATCTTCAAAACTGTCTCAACACCACTTTGTGGCTAGTACCTTGTTTTGACTCTTTATCCTGACTCGGAGATCATTTCTTCCTAGGTCTCTTCCTCTTTTCTCTTCCTATTTTTGTTTCTTTGGATATTTCATTCTTAATATAGAATTTACTCTTTCCTCCCTGTTCCTCTTGACCCTTTTGTTACCGAGCAGCCTCTTGATTGAACTAAAAAGTCTAGATAGATTTAGTTCTCTGCTGATCCCAAGTAACCTAACAGATTAGGATTTTAGATTATGTCGTTCATATGCCATTCTCCAATTTGAAATTCTTTGGTGCTTTGCATTTTCTTGCTGCTTAAAATGCTATCTAATATTCATAGCTTTAAATGTCCTCTATAATCTCTATTATATCTATTCAAAATTAGTTCCTGCTCATTTCACTCATTTTCCTTCTGCAATAGGTCTTGTTTCCAGAATTCTCTGTTCAATCAATTGTGTTACTTTCTGGAGAATAAAAAAGTTACATCTTATATTTGTAACCATGTGTATATCACTTTCCTTAGGACAATGTATAATCTATGGTAGATGTTCAGTTAATGTGATTTTTGTTTTTAGTTTTTCAGTGTCAATTACGGTCTTCTTTAGATGGATGGGATAAAGATTGATCTTTTATTCTCTGTTTTAGACTTTAAGGGCATGATCTCTGGAGTCCTATCACCTGGGTTTATCTCTAACTCTTGTTTTGCTACTTTAGACAGTTTACCTAATGTCTCTGTACCTTAGTTTCCTCATCTGTAGAATGGAGACAATGGCTATACTGACCTTAAGAGAGATATGAGAACTGAGTAAGAGAATCCATATCAAGAAGATTTTGTGTATGTAACATATATTTCTAGATTAATATTGCTAAGAATATTTCCATGAACTAAACAAACTAGGAAGAAAAATTTTATTTGGGAACCCAATTTTTTATTTTATTCCTAGTCATTGCCAATACATATGTTATTTTTATAGTAAGACTGTTTGTAAATATGTAAATATGTTTGTATTATTAAATCAGCATCTGAAAATATTATTGAAAATGCTGAGGATAGTTTTACTGCTTTGTAACAGAACTGAAACAGTTTTCTGAAGGCTGAATTTGTGCCTTCGTACTTGATCCCATCAAAATGAAGAGCTGGGAGAGTAAAGGATATAATTTCACTGTTGAATTCAACCGAGTGAACTTGTTATCATTTTTTTCTGGACCTGAGATTCTGCTAGGTGCTGAAAATTCAGGGAATACAGAGATGTAGGTCTGAATTAGTCCATTTTCACACTGCTATACACATACTACTCAAGACTGGGTAATTTATAAAGGAAAGAGGTTTAATTGACTCACAGTTCCATATGGCTGGGGAGGCCTCAGGAAACTTACGATCATGACAGAAGGGGAAGCAGGCATGTCTTGCATGGTGGAAGGTGAGAGTGTGAGCATGTGAAGGAGGAACTGTTAAACACTTATAAAACAATCAAATCTCATGAGAACTCACTCAGTGTCACAAGAACAACATGAGGAAACCACCCCCATGATCCTATCACATCCCTCCCTTGACACGTGGGGATTATAGATCTCTCCTATAATCCTGTAAGGATTACAGTTCGAGATGAGATTTGGGTGGGGACACAGCCAAACCATATCAAGGCCCTGTTCCCATCTAATAAGGAAGCTAATGAATAATTACAGTAGACAGGAGTCAACACAGCAATAGAAGTATAGTTCAATCAATGGAATGATTACCTAATTAGGAGGAGAAATATAACATGGTTGGTTATAGAATGCTTCCTATGAGGGGTACAGTACAGGGTTCCCTTTTAAAAAGTAATTGCAATTTTGTTTGTATGTTTAATTTCCATATATCTGACTGCTGTAAAATTGTTGTACCAAATCTTCTTAGTTATGACACAGTCATATACCTTACTGTAAGCTTCAGTTTTATCTCCTTCTCAGGTGATATTTAGAGTTTAGCATCCATCAACACAGCTTCAAAACAGAGTACCACTGCCAAGAAAAGAAGCTTAAACAGGCAGTTCACCATTTTATTTATACTCTAAGAATAGTAAGAAACCTGTTTATGACAGCCATTTCTCTCCTTTCAAGCTAAGATGCCTCATCTTTTAGCAGTGTTAGTTGGGCAAGGATAGTATGGAAAAATAGTGTTTTTCTTCCTCAAGCACTCTAAGCTATCAATTTTATAGAGTCTGTATAATTCTCAACAAGAATGTAGTTTGAAGCAAGCTGTTATGATTAATTATTGCTCATTAACTGGATCTTCACTCTGCATGAAACAATATTGTAGTTTTTATTCTAGAAACATTGTTGCTTATATTAAATTTGAAATGCATTTGGGGAGG
This sequence comes from Homo sapiens, assembly GCF_000001405.40. Lineage (NCBI taxonomy): Eukaryota > Metazoa > Chordata > Mammalia > Primates > Hominidae > Homo > Homo sapiens. The sequence goes on from NC_000013.11 coordinate 91,474,022, forward strand.
TTGGAAGTTGAAATGTCCAGTGTAGGTTGTGAAGACATCAGGAATGTTGAAAGCTTTGCTTATGTAGTATTGCTTTGATGCCACTGTGATTATTCAGTAAAAATAAATTAGATTATTCAACAGAAAAATTTATATAATGTCATTTTTGATGGAGACATTTTGCATATTTGTGCTTTGTAAATCTATTTTATTCTTGGCAAGAGTGCTTAGTCATTATGTACATATATTATACATATTGTTTATAGAAGATCTTGGAAGAATGCTATACCAAAAATATTTGAGTCCCTGAAGTGAAGTTGGTTTCTTGTCTTTAGAGGATATTAGCTAAACTATTAACTTGGTTTATCAATATCTGAAGAAGACCTAGAATAGTAGCATGTAATTTTCCTACCATTTTTCTTTTACTTATGTAAGGGTAGGAGTATATGATTATATGAGCTATTCTTCCTTTGCAGTTGAACTGAAATCTGTCAGTTTCTCAATCTCTTTCCACATCTACCTTTGAGAGTCTGATATATATGATTACACTGATCTAAACAATGAAAATCACATGAGCAAATTTTCTAGTTTCTGACTTACAGACAAAATTTGTATATACCTAATTAAATTGCCCATTTATAGCAGTTCTAATCTTCTGTAAGTGCTACAAAAAAAACCAAGACAAGAAGAATGGTTTCCTAGCATTGGTATATTAGTGGGGCCAGTTTTCAGAGGCTACCTCAAATATAGTTGATGAAAAACATTTTTATTAAATAAGAAAATTTTTGATGACAGTAATAAGAACTAGGGAGAGTATAAAATATGATCGACAAGGTATTTTTTCATTAATAAAACACTTACACTTATTGGATATTTACTATGGGTGACACTACTATTAAAGTATATAGCATTTAAGTCCATAAGGATAATATATTAATGCTCTGGTTAATGTCCTTAATTTGTAACACATAAACAAGAAGTCAAGCATCAAAGAAATAGGATATAGAATAAAAGGGTTGTAATATAAAGAACGTTACTATAACTTAAAAATATTCTGAGTAGACTCACTTTATTGTTTCCCTCCAGAGAAATTAATCTTAAATGTATATCTTTTTTTCCCTAATTATGAGGTGGCAAAAGCACATGCCAGCTGTTGCTTTGTTTTTTATTCTATCCTTCTCCTGTGCTTTTTCTGAATACTTTTTGAATTAATAGCCAAATTTTGGTCACTTTTTGGACCCATCTTCCATTGGAAATAAAAACCCTTATACTTAAATATATACACTTGAACACAAAGTGAAGAAAAAAAGCACTTAGTAGGCAATGCCGATGCTGTTATTGTGCATTCCTCTATGAGAGATTTGATTCTGGTCAGAAAGATGTCTTGGGGTTAAGTTTTCTTAGCTTTCTTAGTGTGGAAAAAATTGTGTAAAAATAGTGGTCAAAAAGCATATGGTTTATTGGTCAATTATCACTGCATAACAACCACAAAATCTCAGAGGCATATGGCTGAAAGCATTTATTTCTTGTTCATGCGTCTGCACATCCATTAAGGTTTGGCTGATCGAGGCTTGGTTCATCTTGGCTTGGCTCTGACCTCTGAGTCCAAGCAGACACAACTGCTCCAGGGCCTGGCTGGTGGGGATGTGTGTAGAACTCTTCCTGGTGTATCCATTTTGGGGCCCAGATGAAGGGGAGGCAGCTACTTCAGAGGACTCTTCTTACAGTTGTTGGCAGGACTGTGAGAGAGCAAGTGGAAAGATAAAGTGCCTCTTAAAGATGAGGCTCAGAATTGGTACACGGTAAATTCTGTCTGTATTTGATTGGTCAAAGCACATTGGTGGAGAGGGGCAGTGCATATTTCTCCCATGGAGCTAGAGAATGCAGAGTCAGTGCTTGCTGACCAGTGATCTAATCTGCCACATAAGAAATGTGATGAAGGAAAAACACAATTTCAAATCTTGTAAGAGGCTGGAAATAAACGAATCTGCTATTATCAATTACTGTCATGTACCAAGCACTAAAAAATAGGTCATGTGATATGCTAAAAGCATACCTGCATTGTTTGATGGCTTTTTCAACATGGCACTATTGACACTGGGACCAGGTAATTATTTGTTGTGAGGGACTGTCCTGTGTATGGTAGGATGCTTCGCAGCATCTTGACATCTACCCACTAGATGCCAGTAGCCCCTTCCCCGTTCCCAGCCATGACAGCCCAAAGTGTCTCCAGACACTGCTAAATGTCCCCCCAGGGAGCAAAATCACCCCAAGTTTAAAACCCCAGTTGACCTATCTTGTGCTGATAATCTTCGAAGGAGGGAATCACTTCATTTTAATAGTGGAGAAAATGAGACTCAGAAAGGCTACTTCACCCAGTGTTACATTGAAGTAAATAACAACGGATTTGAGATTGAAACCCAAATATCCTTCTTACATGTGGTTCATGTGAGACCAAAAAAAGAAAAATCCACATAAATAAAGTCAAAATCTTTTATATTTTGTATATATTTTGTAATACAAAATACATAGATTGAACCATATTGCTAAGGGCTAATAAAAAGATGCCTTAGAATTGAGTTTTCTTCAATAGTGATGCAGAAAAGGCAGTAACAATTTGCAGACAATAAGGTCCGTAAAAGGTATGCTCAGGGAATTATGAGAAACTGGTGAGAACAGAGGAGGATTACTCTACTCACACCAATTGAGACAGACGGTTGCAGAATTAAATGACCTACTAAAGGGCAAATGGTAATTAACCAGATGAAGGAAGACAGGATGGGCCTCACTAAGCAGAGGCAGCATCATATGTACAGTATTATCTACAAAGAACTGTAAGAAGATACAAATAGTGGAAGCAAAGAAAATGGCTGAAAGTGAAGAAATTGGCTGAAGGCAGAGGCAAAGCCAGCAGTGATCCATACCATGTTAGGGATTCTAGACTTTAATCCAGAAAGCGATGTTGGACCCCCACACAGAAATTTTAAACAGAGAAATTACGGAGTGTTATTTAAATTTTGCAACATCACTCCATCCTCCTGTGGCTGTGCTATGGAAGCAAGAAAATTATGTGAAAGGATATATATTCAAATATTAGAAATATTTATCTTTGGATGAAGATTATGGTTTTAATTTTTATTTTGAATATTTCTGCAGTTTATATATATATATCTTTTGTAATATGTAATACATTTCATAATAATATGACATTGTAGCAATACAGGCAAGAAATTATAAGGCCCTGGACTATAGCAGTGGCAGGATTGATGGAGACAAGGAGGGATTTATCTGACAGTGATTTTAAAGGTAAAATTTTCAGGGTTTGGAGAAATGTTTTCAGCGGTATTACTGGGGAAAACAGAAGAGTCCAAGATGCCCCTTGGGTTTCTGGCTTGAACAACTCATAGAGAAGGGGATCTAAAAAGATGGGAAGGTAGTTTTGGGGAGAGGATACATTCTGTTTTGACAGTGGTATGAATGAAACGCTTCTGGGGCATTTGCATTGAGGAAGCAGCCAATTGTCCATTGAAAAAGGAGTCCAGTATTCAAAATAGGTTTAGTTGGACATACAAATTTTGGAATACCCATAAAAGAGAGTGACCTTTTCAGGTAAAACTGTCTAGGAAGAATGTACATGTTGGGAAAAGGGCTGCAGATGGATTCCTAGTGGTAAAAGTGAGGCATACAAGGGGCCTGTAGAGTGTCTAACAAAGGCAGCCAGAGAGCCAGGGCAAGAGTGAATTCTCAGAGGGAGCGGGCAACCATGTGAAATGAGAAGGAGAGGCCCAATGCTATGCGGCATAGTCTTTCTATTTAGCATTTGAGTTTTTCAATCCAGGCACAAGGGAGAGTTATAAGTCAGATAGCAGTGAGCTGTGGTTATAAAATAGAGACTGAGACAAACAGTCTTTTTAAGACATTTGCTTGGTTTTTGGAAAGTGGGAAAGTAGATGGTCATTGGGTGCACAGAAGGCTTTCCAAGTTGTGTTTTTTTCATGTAGAACATTTTTCCTGAGAAACTATTCTTGGAGGAAAAAAAAACAGATTCATATTTAGATGATGTAATTCAGTGTTCAGAGAACCTTTCATATGAAAATTGTCGTTAGTTTTTTTTTTGTTTTGCTTCACTGTTAAATTTATATGTTCTTTAAAATGCATAAAACTTTAAAAAAAAGTTAATCTTTTTACCAGACACTTAAAATTACTCTTTTCATTAAATAAGGGAATCAATCTACTAAAATGAAAAGAAATGTACACTTTTGAAGAGTTTGCCTTTTGATTGGTGTATGCATTCATAAATTTATTTCATATTTTCCAAAATTACAAATGTTATGAAATGTACAAATCCCTTTCCATTTCACTGTCTTTTTTCTTTGAGTTTCTCATCTTTAAAATTTTTTAATGTCATAAAAATGTAAAGAGAAATAAATGTAATTTTTGTTTATTAGAGCATTTTATATATGCTATTTATTTTGTAGTTTGTTGTAGTTTTAGCATCCAAAATTTATTACATTTATTGTTTTTACATTATTTTTCACATTTTATCTTGAAATTTGCTTTTAAATATTGTTACTGTAAATGATTGAATTTTGAATTTTCATACAGATATATTTTTATTAAAGTATTTCCCTTCATTTTCTTCTATTCTGTTTCCTAATGTAATCAGTGCATATATGATGAAAAGAGCATAACAACATAATAGAAAATCAGCTATGAATCAGGAGGATTGGGCTCAGATCATGTTTGCTCACTAGCAATGTGGCTTTGGTGAAGTTACTTATCCTCCATTTGAGTTTATATATATATATATATATATATATATACACACACACACATATATATACACATTATATATATATACACACACATATATATACACATTATATATATATATATATATATGCACATATATATATTCTTTTTTTTTTCTTTAGATGCAGTCTTGTTCTGTTACCCACGTTGGAGTGCAGTGCACCATCTTGGCTCACTGCAACCTCCGCCTTCTGGGTTCAAGCGATTCTCCTGTCTCAGCCTCCGAAGTAGCTGGGACTACAGGTGCCTGCCACCACGCCTGGCTAATTTTTTGTATTTTAGTAGAGATGGGGTTTCACCGTGTTGCCCAGGGTGGCCTCGAACTCCTGAGCTCAGGCAGTCTGCCTGGCTTGACCTCCCAAAGTGCTGGGATTACAGGCTTGAGCCACCACACTCAGCCTTTAATTAATATATTTCATTTATAATGAAATTTTTAGGATTTTAGCACTATTAGTAATTTACACCTAAAAATTAAATACATTTTATCATGTCACAAAAGCATCTAAACCTTCATTAAAGGAGTACATTTTTCAATGGGAGAAGAGATGCATGTTTGTGGAGCATAATATATGTCAGTAGAGACCAAATTGTACACTGTATGCATTTATGAGGTATGGGTGCATTTAGCATTTTTGGAGAATAATTAGGAAGATCCTTGGATTTCTGAGAGTAAGAATAAAGAAAAACAGGATCTGGTAACAAATACTAGAAAAACAGATGGTTATTAAAGCTTAGAAATTCCCCAAGAATATAGTCTACTTAAAGTTTTTTTTGTGAATAGCTACATATATAATGCTTGAGTCATGTAGTTGAAATACTGTTGCATTTTTGGCTTCTTGGTAGGAAATTAATAAGTTCCCAGTGCAAGTTCTAGGGATTAATAGGAGCTGTGTATAACAAAGACATTGAATTAAATAGAATATAACTTCATTTTCTATATTCAGCATACCTACCAATACTAATTAGTGATATATTTATATTTTCTACTCTATTAGAATGATGTAGAATAGACATATTGCAGAATGAAGGCAAATATAAAATAATTATTTTCCGTGGCACTTAATATTCTCAGTGGAGGATAAAATTTAATGGTAAAAACTTGCTAAAATTATTTGTTATAAAAAAGAAATATATGCTTTGGACTATATAAGTTTACCAAATTAGAAATAAGTATAGTTTTTATGCTCTAATTACTGTTTAAATGGACACTGCACCCCTACTACATTATGCTATGAGACTAGAATCTCTGTGCTTTTGTTGGGTGTATTTATATCAGAGTGAAAGATGTTCTCATTAGAAAGAATCATTGGAAATTTTTGAATACAAAGGGGAACTTTATGTAGTTCAGTTAGGCAGACTGTATACATTTGATTTGTTTTAGGCTGTAAAATGTATGTTGTATAAAATATAAACACGTCTTCATTTATGGGACCACAGATAGCTCCGCTATGGACAGGGCATTTCTTCTAAAACAGATGATTACTTTTGCAGTATGTAGAGAAATAGAAGACCAATCAATTAATTTTCTAAAATTCCCCTGCTATGGGTTTCTTTCAGTGTTAAGTCCTTCACCACATGTACACATGTCTCTCTATAAAGAGCGATGAGTGGTGAGAGGTAGTTGAGCTGCCGTTACTTGAATGCATAGGAAAACCACTTTCTATAATCCACTGCCAAATCCAGCGTGACTATCCATTACTTACTACTAAAAGGCTCTTTTGTAAAACTTTCTAAATAATTCACTACAGCCTCAGTAAATATTGCACATAGATTTCTATCAAGACATATTGCATACAATTTCTACTAGGTTCTTTCTTGAAAAGGTAAGCTGAAGATGGGAAACAGGATATTTAAGAATTGAGAACTAGCTTGGACACACCTTATTTCTAAAGAGCCTGAGCCCTTGATGGTTATACCTATGGAGCGCTGCACTAGTATAAGGAGGGTTCACCTAGGTTATACCCTTATTCTTTTGAGTTCTGAGAGTATTCAGGCAACCTTATTTTTCCTTGTTGGACAGGACCAGTTACTGTAACCAACACTGTTACTCTCTTTCCTACTAGTTCTTTAGTAGATGAGAATCCCCAAATGGTCAGGTGGCAGTCCCCATTGAGACAGTGATATTTCTGTGTTCTATCTTGGAGGTTTTTTTTTTTCCCAAAACTTCCAGATAAATAGAACCCCAAGTTTCGGGGTTGCTGATACCAGGGCAAATGGGCCGTGGTGCATGATGGTCCATGTTTGTGCCTAATCAGCTGGCTTCTTTCTTCATAAGCTCATTATACAAACATCTGGCTCTCTCTGCCATGTGAAGAACATCCTTAGACTACATTTGTTTTTTCTGCAGAGAATGTCTTGTGGTGAGCATTCACATGAGAAATGGGACATCGTTATTTTAAAGCTGTGGTCCCCAAATCTCTTTGTAGTATTTCTAATCTTGTTCTTGCTCCCTCCAAGAAATATTAGTTCAAATTAGTTCAAACATGAACCATTGTGCAGGCATCTTATATAAATTCTGATTTCAACTTATTGCTCTTTTGGGGTGAAGTGGAAGATCCTGAATGACTGCTCACATTTTGGTACATAGAAAATATTTTCCCTCTCCATTTTCTTCAGTATCATCCCTATGACCTGCTAAACTCTTAAAGTAGAACAATTTTGTCTTGTGCCATTATATTGTACGACTGTAAACCCAATTTACATTAGGGGACTTTGCTACCATGGGTTTGGGTTAAGGGAGGCTCAGAGGTATGACTAGAGTCAAATTCCTGGCGATGTGAACAACCTCTTGCAACTTACTCATGCCTTTGTGGGCTTTATCAGTCCTGAATGCATAAATTGCTTCTACTTAATTATCGAAAGCTGCTGGGTAACCTGGGCTCTACAGCTAAAGTGATCTCATAGCACCTAGTTTTTGGTGGCAGTCTGGGTTGAATGGTCACCTAATGTCTCATCCAGCATTGGAACCAAGTAGCAAACTGAAAGATGATACCTGTGGAAGGATGCATGTCCTTAACCCTATATCCCAAATGCCTGTTCTTCATTCTTCTGTCAGGGCTTGTCATAAGCTTCATATATCATCCAGGAATGAGTGGCAGAACCATTTGTATTGGAATCTGGGTCCACTAGACACTCTTTCGCATTACACCTGATTCAAATTTGACAGCCTTTTGAAAGACATAGTAAAAGGATACTAATAGAATATCCCATATCCAAAAGTCTATCTGTCATGGTGCCTCCTTGGTTACAATGATTTATTTTGGAGAATGCTATGGTTTGAAGGTTTTTATCCCCTCTGAAACTCATGTTGAAACTTTATTCTCAATAAAATAGTGTTGAGAGGTGGGGCCTAATAAGAAGTATTTAGGCCATGAGGATGGTATACTGCTACAAAAAGGGCTTGTAGGAGTGGATTTGCTCTCTCTCTCTCACTCGTCTGTTTATGCGAGGAACAGTGTTCTTCCTCTTGGGAGAATGTAGTGTTCAAGGTACCATCTTGGAATCAGAGACTCAGCCCTTTCCGGGCACCAACCTACCAGTGCCTTGATCATGGACTTCCCAGCCTCTAGTACTGTGAGGAATACATTTCTGTTCTTTATAAATCACCCTGTCTTAGATATAGCAGCATAAAATGGACTAAGATAGAGGAGACAGCCCACCTCGTCAGCTATGCTTCTCATAGTGTAATCCAAAATCTAGCAACCATCATTTAGGAACATGTTAGAAATAGATAACAGACTCAATTCCAGATTTACTAAATCAGAATCTGCATTTCAGTAAGATCCTCAGGTGAATTGTGTGCACATTAAAGCAGGAGAACCAGTGCCTTAGCTGATTTGACCACAGGAATGTCATCGCCGTGGGAGGCTTCTTGTTTCCCAGGGATTAATGTCACCCCCTGCCACGCTGCTTCTTGCTGTTTAGATCTTATCAACATGGCATCTGTAATGCAATAGATGTGTGCGGTGGTCTGAAGGAAGGGCTGAGAAACACTGCTCTTCTTTAGGTTACTGACAGTTGCTTTTCGTGACTCTTGCATATGAGAATGCAGGTTTTTTTTTTTTTTGCCATATCCATTATTGGCAGCTCTATAAATTTACTTCTGTTAGAAATCTACATTTAGGAGTACAGCTGAAATTGAAGTCAACCTCTGATTGTGTTTGTTATAATATAGTAGTAATTTTTATTTAGACTTGCTAGTATTTTACCTTATCCTTAAATTGCTAAATTGGAGCACAGTTTCCCAAGATCCATAGGAATTAGTTTTCACGTATATTTGTTATCCAGCATGACTCCAAAGTTTGGTCATTCCCCTTTTTGAAAAAAACAGTCATCTAATTAAAAGTTCTTTATGGTAAGACTTTAGGAAGGCATCATAGTAGAGCCTGGTAAAGATAAAACGAGTTTTCCTCAATACCTGATCTTCTCTTTATATAAGAGGCTCCAGGTCTGTGACTTGGGAATTAGGTTAGAACCTTTGTTCTCTAGGCTGATGGCTCAAATAAGGCCTTTGTATGTTAGCGCTGGAATTGTTTTGTCTTACAACAATTAATCAAGACCTTAGGGAATGTGTAATGAATTTGTTTCTGGAGATGTCTTGATTAATTAATTCTATCTAGGAATCTCTGCATGTCAGATATTTCATGCACCCTGATGACTACTCCAGCCCTGTTGCCTATTATGACGCTCATCCTCATTTTGTTCCTGGTAATTAAATGCTGCCTCCTGAGCTTGGCCATCCAGAGCTTCCGTGATTTCTGCTGGGATTGGGGTTTACATTAAGCCTGCCCACTGACATTTCTGACCTAGAGGTAATAGCTGGTTAAGCACAATTAAAAATTTGGATTTAAAAAAATATTATTCTTCTAATTTCAAGAGGCAGTGGCAAACAATACAGATTATTATGAAATAATACACAGTAAGTCCTCACATCACATCATTGATAGGTTCTTAGAAACTCCAAATTTAAGCAAAATGATGTATCATGAATCCAATGTTTTTTCTCATCAACATTACAGTGAAACAATTGTGAACAAAACAGAATTATTCTAGGATGTTATTCTAGGTCATTTCACTTAAAGTCGCAGTTTCCAAGCCTATGAATAATGTTAAGTGGAGATTTACACTATATCATACCTTCCTGAACTTTCAATTTATCATTAATATTACATCCATATTAATTTTTAGAGCCAGAATTGTACAAGCTATTTTTTTCTTTAAAAAGTGGCAACTTAATTATCTATTATAGTTGAGTTATTTTGTAGAACGTACTTTTTTTAAAATGAGCTCTTTTCTAACATGTTTTGACATTTTTCGAGTGTGTTCACACTCTGATATCTCATTTGCTACTTAAGTTAATTTTCATTGCATTGAAGCGAGGACTTTGACATCGTGAGAAATGGTCTGATAAAGAAGGAACATCCCTAGGGCCAGGGACAAAGCACCCTGAAAGGGTTCTCAACCTTTCTACCTAAATTCCATTTTCCAAAAAATGACTAAAAATGTTCTGTCTACCTGATAGGATTATTGCATTGATTACTGAAGGTAAATATTAAAAAAGCATGTTTTATATATACCAAGAAGTCTTTATTGAGCATATACTCTGAGCCAAGCTCTACCCTAATCACTTAAAATGAATGTGAAGCACTTTGCAATAAGCTTTTCATTTGACATCTAAATTCTGAGAAAGTTTAAGTTTGCAATAATTTAAGAAACAAAATTACTTTGAAGACAATTACAATATGTGTATATGTATTTTCGTATATATGTATTTGTATATTAATAATATATTTATATTTTGGATAATTCTGTTTTGATTTGAAAGAGGAGTTGGAGAGACTGTGGCAAAGAAGTGACATTTTTCTTCTTGCTTTCACATATTTTGTTGGAAAGTTTATAACTTTTAGTTTTAAAATAGTGGAGATATCTTTAGGGATGGATATAAGTTCCTCCCCTCAAAGAAAGCCCTCTAGAAATGGAAAACAGTGTACCCTAATTGAGAACCCATCAGTTAAATAAAGTATTAAGTGCTTGCTTTATCCTAGATGATTTTGGATATAGTGGCATAATGTGTACTTTTCCTGCGCTGCAGAAACTCTTTTGAGAAAGTGTCTCCACAATCAGTGAACATTGCTGTATTCTATGATTGCTACTCAGAGGTCTACAGACCAGTAAGATGTGTATGATCTGAGAGCTTGTTAGAAATGCAGAATAAAAAAAATGCAGAACCCCAGGCCCAGGCCATACCCCAGAACTACTGAATCAGAGTTTTCATGTTAACAAGATCACCAGGAGAAATATGCACATTTTTTTGAGAAACACTGTTCTAGATCACATATACAATCTGAATTTTCCTAAATAATCTGCTATGTTTGTTTCTGTACCATCATAATCTTGGTCCCTTTTTTTTTTTTTTTTGAGACAGAGTCTTGTTCTTGTCCCCCAGTCTGGAGTGCAATGGTGCGATCTCAGCTCACTGCAACCTCTGCCTCCCAGGTTCAAGCGGTTCTCCTGCCTCAGCCTCCTGAGTAGCTGGGATTACAGGTGCATACCACCATGCCCAGCTAATTTTTTTTGTATTTTTTAAGTAGAAATGGGGTTTCAAAGTGTTGGCCAGGCTGGTCTCGAACTCCTGACCTCAGGTGATCCACCCGCCTTGGCCTCCCAAAGTGCTGGGATTACAGGCGTGAGCCACTGCGCCCGGCCGGCCCTTCTTTTTTTTATATATTCTTTTTAAACACTTTGTTTTTGCATGTTGGAACAGAAAAGATTAAAAACAAATGAACTGAATAATAGTAATAGCAAACAACTGTGCTCTTTTTTTTCTTCCAGTTAAGATTTGTCAATCTTAAATAATGAGATTTAGGAAATATGATTAAGTATACAGTTTATTCAGGCTGAAAAGAGGATGGTCACCCAGGAAAACACTGATTCCAAATGAAAATAGGGTCAGCATTTTCAAAATGGAGAAGTTAAAGTTTCAATTATATAGGCACAGACAGATAAGTTGTAGGAGGATTACAACATTTTTCGTATGAAGCAAGGTGCATATGCCACAGCAATTGGTTTGATTGATTATGGATTTCTGCATTCCAAGGGAAGTTACTTTATTACTCCATGAGGATGGGTAGTGATCTTAGGGGTCTTATCTCTGGCACCGTTTGGTCTCAATTATTTACAGGAAAAAGAGGCTTTTAAAAAAGGCAAAAGTTGCAGCTGCCTGCCACCTGGCTCAGGCTGCAGAGCCACATTCCTCTCAAGGCTCAGGATAACTTAAAGTTCCAAAAACTGTAAGTTTAAACTATTTAGTTTCACAGCTACTATAATGTTCAGTTTCCTATCTTTGTATAGTTACCTGGGTAACCAAGACTCTAACCCTAGTAATTTCTCTTTTCTCTTCTTGTTAGACCATCCGCTGGGCTCATTCCAATTCCTACCCGACCCTGCTGCTTTATGATGAATTGGCCTTTACCAATGAATCACTTTTTAACATTACCCTGCAGTTGACAATTTGCCTCTCTGTAAGCCAGATTGCTTCTTAACTAGACATTGGCCTTGTCGCTGAACCTCCTTCATATATTTGAGTACAACTTAATTGTAGCAAAATAGTTTCAACTGTGTTAAACCCATTGGGTTTTCTTTAGGGGTCTTTCTGGAGACCCTAAATAATAACACATAGTCAGCTGCAAGATTTTTTATTGTAAGACTAACTTTGATACCAGCTTGCCATGTCTAAGAAAGTGAAAAAGCTAATGCATAAATAGAAAATTTCTAAGGCTAGCTGTCTCTTGATCTTGGTATCTTTGGAGCCAAGACAAGAAAGGCAGGATAAACCTTGCTCAATTAAGCTATCTTTGAGGAACCAGAAAACAAACAAAAATCCCAATATAGTGATTTAAAAATAAACCCTAAGCAGGAAGGATGAGGATGTCTATTACTTAGTATGAGAAAGAAATTGAGCAGATTGGAACGTGACACCAATTCTTGGACTCAGCGAGTTGATTCTGGAGAGGTAAAGCAAAGACAGTTCTCTTCAATGCAGTGAACAGAGAACAGGTAAGGGTTGGGTTGAATTGAAGAATTGCTTTGAGAGTCTCTTATCTGCTGCCTGGAATGATTGTCTGTATCAAGGCCATATTCCTAAAATATGAAATCTGTGACTGATGTGGGGGCTAGGGAATTGAAGCTTGTATGGGGTGTATCTGAGAAATAAAAATATCCAAATCGAGCTTTGATTCAGGCTCAATATTGTAGGTTTGAGGAGGGAAAGTTTCCTCTTCACCTTCTGAGGGTTTGCTGAAAATGAACTGACAAAATGCAGATTAACAGGAGAGAAAGCATACAAAATTTATTTAACGTGCACAAGGGGTGGAGATGGGGGGAAGTCACGGGTGTGATTACCCAATAGCCCAACGATGCTTATATACTCTTCTTCACGGGGAGTGGGGATATGGGGAATGAAGGCAAATCTTTTGAGGAGTAATAGATGGTTAGTAGGGAGAATGAATGGATGCTGAAGATGGAAATTAACTTATAAAGAATTTTCTTTGGAATTTCAATGCGCCTCAGAGACAGACATTATCCTGTGGAAACATCTGTCCAGGTGTGGTTACATTTCTCACTCTTATTTTCTGTGATAGATAATGACATTTGGGGGAGGGGATAGAAGGTTTTCTCTTTGGCAGGTCCAGTCTTCAGATAGAAAAGGGAATACTAGGGTAGGGCCCCTTCCAAGATCTGATCACCTTCAATGGCCTTGCATCTAAAATAGTATACCGTGGTGTTATATTTTGGGGTGAAATTCTCTGGGAGCCTTTAGCATCTTTATTTAGCATTGAGTGTTTCATGGACTAGCTTATTTTTGAGGTAAGATGTTGAACTTTTAACTACATGCTACATGATTAAAAAATCTATTATCTCTACTTCTCCTTTATAGATCAGATGTTTATGTCAGATAAAGCTTGTCTTTAGGATTCCTTCAGGCCCCATTTTCGGTCCTTGTTTTTATCCTCACTGAAGGAACCCATATGTTAGGATTATCCTACCAAATATAGTAAGCAGAAAGTATTTGCCAAGAGAATACCATGTGTACATTTGAACACTGGACATTTAAACAGGTTTTTTTTTTTTTTACGGGGATACTTACAATATGACTAAGGAGATAGATGTATAAAAAATGAACAAGATAGCATACTTGGAGAAAATGCATTATATGCACATTTAATTCCACTATAAGTTTTGAGTGGAGGGATGGATAGGAAGAGAGAAATACATATATGTATGACCCAGAGGGTATATACAATGGGAGAAAGGAACCTGTTGTTCCAAGTTTCTATTATGGCATATATGGTCATGATGATTTTCTCAGTATGAAGCATCTCCTAGGGCTAAGTTTGATGTAAAACTGATGTTCTGTATTTTAGGGGTAAGTTAAGAGGTTTGAAAGTGTTATTTAGACTGTACTATGCTTGATTTTCAATTTATAAACTAACCCGCTTGTAAGTTTCTTTATAATTCCAAAAAAATGTCATTTGCTAGGGGAGATTAGAAGAGTGAAGTGATTCCCCAAGGTAAGTTGAAGGAGTTTCAGTTAGGTCCTATGTTGCGGAAAGTCAGGGACCCCGAACGGAGGGACCGCCTGAAGCCATGGCAGAAGAACGTAAATTGTGAAGATTTCATGGACATTTGTTAGTTCCCCAAATTAATACTTTTATAATTTCTTATGCCTGTCATTACTGCAGTCTCTGAACATAAATTGTGAAGATTTCATGGACACTTACCACTTCCCCAATCAATACCCTTGTGATTTTCTATGCCTGTCTTTACTTTAATCTCTTAATCCTGTCATCTTCGTAAGCTGAGGAGGATGTCTGTCATCTCAGGACCCTGTGATAATTGTGTTAACTGCACAGATTGTTTGTAGAGCATGTGTGTTTGAACAATATGTTCAGGGAACAAGAGAGATAACCGTAAACTCTGACTGCTGGTGAGCCAGGCCAACAGAGCTGTATTTCTCTTCTTTCAAAAGCAAATGGGAGAAATGTCACTGAATTATTTTCCTCAGCAAGGAACATCCCTGAGAAAGAGAATGTGTCCCTGAGGGGAGGCCTCGAAAATGGCCGCTTTGGGGGCGGCTGTCTTTTATGGTCGTAGCTGTGGGATGAAATAAGCCTGGTCTCCTGTAGCACTCCCAGGCTTATTAGGCCGAGGAAATTCCCACCTAATAAATTTTGGTCAGACCGGTTGTCTGCTCTCAAACCCTGTCTGCTCATGAGATGTTATCAATGACAATGTGTGCTCGAAACTTCATTAGCAATTTTAATTTTGCCCCGGTCCTGTGATCTCACCCTGCCTCCATTTACCTTGTGATATCTTATTACCTTGTGAAGCATGTGATCTCTGTGACTCACACCCTATTCGTACACTCCCTCCCCTTTTGAAAATCACTAATAAAAACTTGCTGGTTTTGGGGCTTGTGGAGCATGACGGAACCTACTGACATGTGATGTCTCCCCCGGACACCCAGCTTTAAAATTTCTCTCTTTTGTACTCTGTCCCTTTATTTCTCAGACCGGCTGCCACTTAGGAAAAATAGAAAAGAACCTATGTGAAATATTGGGGGCTGAATTTTGCCTGATAGTCCTAAAAGAAAGATAGAAATAAGTAGTACAGAATAACGTCTGAGGTCTGTCACTTAATAAATATGGTTAAGTTAGGTCCAACAAAATTCTTTTTACTTTAAAAATTATTTCAGTTTGAATAGTGAATGTTCATAGAAACCATTCACATTATTTTACAGGCTACTTCAACTTTTCTTTGTTTATTCCAAATAAGCACATTTTAAAATTGTTTTAGTTGCCATCATAATGGCATCTTATAGTCTAAGGGAGCCAAATAGCCTCCCCACCTTCCTTTTAATAAGACAAATGTTCATATTATGAACATTTTAGCAAAACCTAATTGCTCTGAGAAAATGGAAATGTAGTTACAGATACAAAAATACTTGCAGTTACTGTTATCAATTTAATTGTCTCAGAGTAGGGAAATAAGCAAATTAGAAGCATAGATGGGAAGGAGACTGTTTTTCATGATCACTCTTAAGCATCTTTGGAAATTTGTACCACATGCATATATATGAATTATTAAAAGAAAAAGGCGGAGGGGGGAGTGAGTCACCTAGGTTGCACCTAGTGCAACTCCTTTTGTATACCCACTTGTTCTGTATATTTAGTTAAATGCCACGTAATCACTACAATGATTATTTGGTAAGAGATTATTATTATTATGGTAAAGGATAGGGTGTGTAAATCAGAACATTTATTTTCGCAGAAGAATGAATAATTGGAGAGGGGATGGGTTGGGGTCAGGGAGTTTAAGAATAAGTTGCTATAGTGGGATGATGGATGGAAATAGAATTAAATCGGTGAATTTGAGTGAGATACAGCAGGATGAGTCAGTAGGTACTTTTCTTGAAGGTGAAGAGAAGAAATTTCTAGCTTTGAAGACTGGACTCAGAAAAACAAGAGTGCCACAGAGAAATAAGAAATTTCAGAATTAGGTTTTTAGAGGAAAGGTAATGATTTTGGATCTTTGAGTTAAATAGACAGATGGTAGACTAGGATATTTAAGTAGCATTCTCTTAGGGTTTTAAGTTTTTTATTTTGTTTTTATTTAATTGATAATCCTTATCAAGACTTTTTAGCTCTTAGATTTAATTATTTAGCTTGGGTGAGTATTAGTTAAGCAATATGGCAAGCTAATGATAAATAAATATTCATTGACTGCTGGTGTTATGACCCAACTTGCATTTTAAATCCTGGCTTCAATTTCTTAACACAATAGGAGTTGAGTATACTTGTTTGAAGAAAAGATGGATACACGTTTAACTTACGTTATGACCTGTCTAGGTCCAGCCCAGAGAGAAAAAGCTAAATGTACAAGTTACTTCACTCAGGGAAAATAGTCAAACAACTTTCTTCTTTGCTGCTTCTTCTTGTTTCTTCTTTTTATTTTGAACATTAGTAAATTTGCAGTTTATAGTCACCATCTCTCTATAGCACTTCACCTTTTGAAACCTAGATATGAATTTCCACCCTTACCCCTACCAAACTCTTTTTTTTTCCACATTTGTCTACTAGTTTCCCCTTCCCCCACCATAGGTCCTTCAAATTTCAAAATGAAAATCATATTCTGCTTCAACCTCTACCTTAACCTGTTTCTTGTCCTACAAGATGGAAACCTCTGTGTTTAATTTAACTTCTGCTTCTCCTCTGAGAGCCATCTAGTCATGAAATGATATTAGTTATAGCTTACCATGATCTCTTCCCCAGCCTGTGGCCTCTGTGTCAGACTAGGCCATTACCATTACTTTCCCGGCTAATACACCATCTGTATAACTGGCCCCCAAGTCACCAGATTTTTTTAAAATCCAATTCCTACTTCATATTATTATGAATTATGTTTACTCCTCTCTGCCTTTATCCCCACAGTTATTATATGACTCTCTTTAAAATGTTCATTGCTTTATAAGAATCTTTGAGAATAAAATCCAAACATTTTGTCTTGCTATAAATGTTGCAAACTATTCGGCATATAACCTACTTTTATATTCTAGAACCACATGTCCCTTCTTTATTCCTTACTTTGAATATACTGCCTGGAATAATATTCCACTAACCACATTAACTTCATGCCTTTCCAAACTCCTGTCCTTTTTTATTCCTTTCAATAACAAATCATCACATACCGAATAGCTTAAAATAATAAAAAATTATTTTCTCATAGTTGTGAAAGCCAGAAGTCCAAAATCCAGAAGTCAGCAGGACTTCTTGCCCTTGCTCCTGAAGCTCTAGGGGACATTCCACTCCTTGCCTCTTCCAGCTTCCTCTGGTGACTGCTTGGTTTGTGACTGGGCATCCCCAGTCTCTGCCTCTGTCTTCACATCTTCTTTGTGTGGGTGTCTTTGCCTCTCCTGTCTTCTATAAGTAATGCATTTAAGGCCTACCTTGGTAATCCAGGATGTTCTTATTTCAGGATCTTTAGTTTAATTATAGCTGCAAAGACTCTTTTTCCAAATAAAGTCACGCTCACAGGTTCCTGATAGATATGTCTTTTTGGGAGACCACTGTTCAGCTCACTACACACACAAAACACATAGCTCATTCATGCTTTCACTCATGTCTGTTGAATACTTAGCAATTAGTTTTTTTCTCTATTATTACATGGTGTTCAGTTGATATCTCTATTTTAGCCCCTATTACATTAAATTTATATATTCTGCCCACTTGGTTGGAAAGTTATTTGTTGGATAATATTCAATTTATCCTTTTTTGTTACTTGAAAATTGAAATTCCTGGCTCACTGCCAATTCCAAACTCTACTTCCTGGTGATCATAATTTTTAGTGACTTAAATAACAAAGATGTCTGTATTATTCAGTGTTCTCCAGAGAAATAGAACAAACTGGATATATATACATAGCTGTATAAATGAGATTTATTACAGGAATTGGCTTACACAGTTATGGAGACCGAGAAGTTCCATGATCTTCCTTCTGCAAGACGGAGAATCAGGAAAGCTGGCAGTGTCATTCAGTCCAAGTCAGAAGGCCTGAGAATCTGGGGTGGGGAAGGGGCCACAGTCTAAGTCCTGGTCTGAGTCTGTAAGCTTAAAACTAGGAGTACTGATGTCTGACAGCCTGTCTCAGCTAAAGCAGAGAGACTGAGTTCGCCTTTTTTCTGTCTTTTTGGTCTATTTAGTCCAGTCTTGAGAGACTGGATGATGCCCACACATTGTGGAGTACCAGCTGCTTTGTTCAGTTCAGCTCACCAGTTCATATGCTAAAATCTGCCAGAAATACCCTCAGAGACATACCCAGAGATAATGTTTTCCAGCTATCTGGGCATTCTTTAGCTCAGACAAGTTGCCACATAAAATTAACCATCACGATCATCCTTCCAATGTGTTAACTTTTTGACTGCTCAGTTTCCTTTCTTCCAATGATCTTGTTCTCTTTGTTCTGTCAGCCACCCACTCCGTGGACATACCTTGTTTCTCATTATTAGAAATAACCAAAACAACTCCAAAATGTTAGTTTAAGTATAGCAACCTGCTATCGTCACCACCTCTTTCCCCCCAGTGCTTCTCTTGCTACTGTTTCGGTAACAATTCCTTGACCTCATTGATTCCTACCATCTCTTCACTGTTTCTCAATCACTCATGAACTCATGTCCTTACTGACCTAGCTTAGATCTATTGCTAATTATTATCATCATCCTCTTCTTTTGCTTTGTCATACTGTTTTGGTCAAAGCAAGTCCTGTTGAACTTTTTATTTACTCCATGCCTGCATAAGTGCAGCAGAACAGAGGAAGAAGAAAACATCCATTCTTTAACTTTTAAATTTTGTGGGTACATACTAGGTGTATATATTTGTTGGGTACATGAAATATTTTGATACAGGCATGTAATGTATAATAATCACATCATGGAAAATGGGGTATTTATGCCCTCAAGCATTTATCCTTTGTGTTACAGACAATCCAATTATATTTTTAGTTATTTTAAAATGTACAATTAAATTCCTTTGACTGTAGTTACTCTGTTGTTCTATAAAATACTAGGTATTATTCATTCTTTCTAATTATTTTTTTGTACCCATTAACCATCTCCATTTCTCCCCTACTCCCCACAACCCTTCCCAGCCTCTGGTAACCAACCTTCTACTGTCTATCTCCATGAGTCTAATTGTTTTGATTTTAGACCCCACAAATCAGTGAGAACCTGTGCACACGTCTGCTCTTGAAATAAAAAACCAACTCGCAAGGGGGCCCTCGAGGCTGCCTGAAATTGTGCTGTATCTCCCTTGTCCATTTGCTCTTCCATGTTCCCAGACATTCGCTTCATTCCTTATTCTCTTTCCTCAAAGTTCTATATCCCTTTCATCCTTAGTCTTAGCTGATGACTTGTTCCTATTTTACATAGAGAATAAAAGCAAATAGAGGAGAATCTGCAAACGATTCTACCCTCATGTTTATCCTCTTGCCTGTATCTGTTATATGCTGCATTCTATTTTTTTTTATTTAAGACAGAGTCTCACTCTGTCACCAGGCTGGAGTACAGTAGCACAGTCTCTGCTCACTGCAACCTCCGCCTCCCTGGTTCAAGCAATTCCCCTGCCTGAGCCTCCCGAGTAGCTGAGACTACAGGCACCCACCACCACACCCGGCTAATTTTTTTTTTATTTTTTATTTTTGTATTTTTAGTAGAGATGGGGTTACAACATGTTGGCCAGGATGGTCTCTATTTCTTGACCTCGTGATCCACCCGCCTCGGCCTCTCAAAGTGCTGAGATTACAGGCATGAGCCACCGCGCCCGGTCTGTTTTCTTTTCTGTTGTTATGAATGACCTGTTTGTGCCTCTTGCAAAGGCCAGCCCTTGTTTTTGTACACAAGATCTATCTCCTCTCTTTTTCTTAAGCAAATTGTTCCAGGAATTTTCCCCTTTCTCTCTGGCTCCATTATTATTATTATTATTATTTTTATTAATTATTATTATTATTTTACTTCTTCCTATCAGCATACTAATAAGCTCTTATTTCTTTCATCAAAAACACCACCACCAACCAAACAACTCTAGAATGTACTTTCTCCAGCTGCTGCTCCATTTTTATTTTCCTTTCATGGAATAAAAAATGTCTTTAAAAGGGCTAACACCCTTGCTGTCTGCAATTTCTCTCACCCTACTCTCTTTGAATCCACTGCAACAGACTTTCACCTGTGTCACTTCAGAGAAACACTTCTTATCAATATCCCTAGTGATCTCCACATCGTTAAATCCAGCAGCCAATTTTCTGTCTTCATCTTAATAGACTAGTCAGCAGTAGGGGACAGGGTGATCACTCCTTCTCTTTGAAATTTGTTTCTTCAGTTGACTTCCAGGATACTAAAGTTCTTGCTTTTTCTCCCCCCTTATTGACTGCCCTGCCTTAGAATCTTTTTCTGATTTCTCCTTATCTCCTTCAGTGCCAACTCTAAACTGTACCAGGGTTCATTTCTTACTTATTTTCTTCTTTTCATCTGTTCTCACTTTAAAAACTTATCTCACCAAATCATACAGCTTCAAATATCAGAACTGCTATCTTCATCCCAGACCTCTATTCTGAACTGCTGACTAATATATCCAACGAAGTGCTTGACATCGCTATTTGAATTTCTAATAGATATCTCAAGCACTAAACTGAGCTCCTGATTTTATTCCCCAAACTTGCTTCACTGAAAATCTTGCCCATCTTAATTAATGGGAATTCTATTCTGAAGTCATCCTTGATTCCTAATTCTTTTCTCATACCCTACCTTATATGACTACATATTACTGGCTCTAATACAAATATATCCACAATCTGAATACATCTCACCCCTTCCACTGCTAACAGAGTCATCCAAGCCACTGTTATTAATATTCTTTTTAATCTAATTAGACAGTGTTGCCTGGCCTCCCAGTTTCTGTCCTTGCCTCTGCAGTCTATTCTTGATGCAGTAGGCGGGAAGATCTTGAGGAAGCATCAAGCCATGTCACTCCTTTTCTCAAAGCCCTCCAATGGCACCCATTTCACAGGGTAGAAGAGTCCTGCTGTGGCTTACAAACCTATACTCAATTTGACATCTTCTCTGATGTCATCCATAACTCCTCTTCACTTCCTCACTCTGTCCCAGCAGCAGTTACCACCTTGCTTTCCTCAAGCACTAATGCAGGCTGCAGCTTCTGAGCTTTGCATTTGCTCTTTCCCTGCCTAGAATACTCCCCACTCCCCATCAGGTAGCTTGCAGTGCTTTGCATCTTTTTGTAATGTCTTCTCTGTCTATTCTGTTTCAAATTGTATTCAGAACACTCCTTTCCAAAATAGGGAAAACAAACACTGATAACAAATGAATCTTGTTGTGGCGGCTCACGCCTGGAATCCCAGCACTTTGGGAGGCCGAGGCGGGTGGATCACCTGAGGTCAAGAGTTAGAGACCAGCCTGACTAACAGGGTGAAACCCCGTTTCTACTAAAAATACGAAAATTAGCTGGGCGTGGTGGCGGGTGCCTGTAATCCCAGCTACTTGGGAAGCTGAGGCAGGAGAATTGCTTGAACTCGGGAGGCAGAGGTTGCAGTGAGCCGAGATAGCACCACTGCACTTCAGCCTGGGTGACAGAGAGAGACTCTGTCTCAAAAAAAATAAAAAATAAAAAATAAATAAAAAATAAAATTAGATCTTGTAATCTTTTATAGCTGACTCTAATATGACTGGGAAGTGCAATATTAGTATTAAGTACGAATTTTAAAAACAATTGCATTATGCAAAGGAATACAAATAAAAGCTTAAAAGTAAAATTATAAACGATTTCAACATATGTGTTCTAGGAATATTCAGTAGGTGGCATGTTATTGACTTGAAATTGGGTCTTCTGATTCCCATGGCTAGGTATATTCACAAAAGAAGATAAATCAGTATATGGAAGAGGTATCTGCACTCCTATGTTTATTGCAGGACCATTCACAATGGCTAAGATTGGGAAGCAACCTAAGTGTCTATCAACAGACGAATGGATAAAGAAAATGTGGTACATATACACAACGGAGCACTATTCAACCATAAAAAAGAATGAGGTCATGTCATTTGCAGCAACATGAATGGAACTGTTCATTATGTTAAGTGAAATAAGCCAGGCACAGAAAGACAAACTTCGCATTTCCTCATTTATTTGTAGGAGCAAAAAATTAAAACAATTGAACTTATGGACATAGAGATAAAAAGGATGGTTACCAGAGGCTGGGAATGGTAGTGGGGGTGTTGGGGCTTGGTGGGGTGGTGAGGATGGTTAATGCATACAAAAATAGATTGAATGAATAAGATCTAGTGTTTGACAGCATAACAGGGTGACTATGGCAACAATAATTTATAGTACATTCAAAAATAACTAAAAGAGTATAATCATAACGCAAAAGATGAATGCTTGAGGGGATGGATACCCCATTTTCCATGATGTGAATGTTACACATTGCATGCCTGTATTAAAGTATCTCATGTACCCCATAAATATATGCACCTAATATGTACCCGCAACAGTTAAAAATAGAAAAATTTATTTAACAAAGTCCTTATTGAAAATCCCCCGTTACTGTCTTTTTCTTCAAATAGTTATTGCTTTTCTGTTTATTTTCTTCCCTTTTATATATACGTGCAAAAATTAATATGCTTTTTTCCTGTCCTCTAAGTTGTTTTTTTTTAAAGATATTTAAAACAAATAATGGCCTTTTATGGAACAATGCTTGTTTTTTACTATTAAGAAAGATGTATGACCAGTTATAATTATACTTTACAGTTTTATATATAGATCTAGCTTTGAGTCATTTTAATTGTATTTCTGTCCAAACAAACTTGATTTAAACCTTTCTGTAGGTAATTATGTGTCAGCTATTATACTGAAGTCAGATATAGTTTATGCTTCAGATATTTTTTTTTTTAAACCAGTGAATTTTCTACTAAAAAGGAAAAAAGTCATCAAATTAATCTGGACTAGCAACTTTGTTAATTCCTGTACTGTTCTCTAAATAATGGCTCATTATTTTTCTACTTGTTGTAATTCCCACAGAAGAGATGACAATTTTTTAGTTGTTAGAAATGTCTTATCTCTTCTTCATGCCTCCCAAGTCACTTATTGATTGCATTCAGCCTGACTGTAATTGGGGTATATACTCACCTTCCTAACCATGCACAAATTAGTCTATAGAAATTAGTCCATAGAAACCTGTATCCTTTTCCATTTAAGTACCATCTATTGAGGCACAGAGTTCAGAGGCAGAAGGTAATGAATTGGGAATGTTGCCCTCTAAGGAAGGCAGGGCAGCAGTTTTGGGGTCATGCTTGATGGTATCAACATGAGGATTTATAAAGAGCTAAATTCAATCTGTTTATTGTGGAAATGAAAACAAAGTTATTCTTTCTGTTCTTTTAAATTATCGTGGGTACATAGTAGGTGAATATATGAGGTGCATGAGATGTTTTGATACAGGCATGCAAGGTGTGATAATCATATCATGGAAAGTGGGGTATCCATCACCTCAAGAATGTATCCTTTGTGTTACAAACAATCCAATTCTTGCCATTTCCCCTACTTTTGATTTTAATGTAAAGATTTATTCCCCTGTCTAATACTGTCCAGGGACTTCTAATTGCACCTAGAGTGATATTCAAACCTCTTACCGTGGCCTCTAAGCCTTTTTTAATCTTAGATTTTTTTTTTCTCCCGCTTAATGCTTTTCACCCCCCTACCTCTAACCCACCCGCCGCCACACACACACGCCTGGTTTTGTCTTGGCTGTTTGCTTTTCATTCTTGGGATTTTTGCTTAAATATTGTCTTTTCAGAAATCTCTACCCAAAGATTTTTTTTTTTTTTTTTTTTGCTTAGTTCATAGTATTTATCACATTCTTAAATAAAGTTTTAATTTATTGCTTTACTTTTTGTTCTGTTGCCCCCAGGAAATTTTAAGTTGCACATTTTGTTGACCGACTGAGTGAACGAGTAAAGGAGAAAAAAGCAACCTGTCTTGTGGGCTGGGAACTGGTTGAGCAGGGATTTGAGCACAATGGGTCCGCATGTGATGGTTTATGTAAGAAGGGAAGGGGAAGGACTTCACCATAATTAACTAGGGTGTGAACTGGGCGTAGGATAGCCAGGAGCATGTGGAGATGAAAGGTCAGAAATGTAGTAGGTTGGGGAATCTGGGAGATCATCGTGTTTTTAAATATGGCAGTAAAATATCCATATTTGTGTTTTTAAAAAGATAACTCTAAGGAGGGTGGAAGGGAGTGAAATGGTGGTCAGGGTAGCTGTAGGGGAGCCAGTTAGAAAGCTATTGCAGTTGCACTTTGGGAGGCTGAGGTGGGCGGATCATTTGAGGTCAAAGTTCAAGACCAGACTGGCCAACATGGTGAAACCCCGTCTCTACAAAAAAATACAAAAATTAGCTGGGCGTGGTGGTGCCTGCCTATGATCTTGGCTACTCAGGAGGCTGAGGCAGGAGAATCACTTTAACCTGGGAGGCAGAGGTTGCAGTGAGCGAAGATCTTACCACTGCACTCCAGCCTGGGGAACAGAGATGGAGTCTCCCTCTCAAAAAAAAAGAAAAAAGGAAAGCTGCTGCAGTCATTCAGGTGATCCATGATTAGGGATGGGGCTCAGGGAGTTCCAGAGGAATGAAAACAAATGAGACTAGGATGAGTTGGATGAGTTTTTGGAGGTAGAGTTGGGTGGACAAGGACACTGTTAAGCTATAGTCTGTGTGGGAGGAAGAACAAGTCAAAGGTGGCTTTGGGTTTCCACCTCAGGTAACAGGATGCTGTTATTATCTCCAAGAGCAGGAAGAGGGTGTTGGGTATAAGGAGTTCAGGTTTGGTGTGGTTCAGTTTGATGGATCAGCATATTATTTTGTTCCATAGGTAGTATGTGTTTAGATTTTGGGAGACAAAAATCTGAGTCCTGAGCAAAGAAGTAAATATTGAAACAAGAGAGGGAGAGAAAAGTGAGAGATGGAGAAAGTCAAGGATAAAAGTTAGACAAGAGAAAGGGAAATACCACAGTTTCTGCTCCTAATTCTCCAAATACATCTTAGTCAGTTTTGGCATATCTTCCTGCCCTAGTAAACTTTGAAAACGAAGCTTTCTTAACATTTTAGATTCAGCAGTTTTTCTGTCCCTTATTTTTGCATACGGTTCACAATTGTTTTTTAAAATAACTCCTGCCTCACTTCTGCTGAGCCATGTAAATCACGATGGCAATGAAATGTGTTCTTTTGCATTTTAGCGCTCTCCAGGTGGTTACCTCGTCTTTCATCAGGTTTGTCCCATACAGTTACTCTTCTGCCACCTTTCAGAGACAGCCTGATCAGGCGCAGCCAGTCTCAAACAGCCTCATCTCAACTCCTAAGTTTGGTAATTTCTGACACCTCAATCTAAAACAGATACATGGAGCCACTTCCTAAAACATCATCCTGTATTGATTTACATATAAAAATTGCCAATGTGCAATATTTTTCAAGGGTTTATTTATTGCCTGTCTCTACAGGAAGTGAGCTGCATGAGAGCAGTCACTAATTGGTCTTGTATTCTGGAGTCCTTTTTGTGTTTCATTTGTGCTGAATGTTTTCTCTTCCAGGAAACTCTTCTCTTAGGTATCCCCTTGGACCATGCCCTCATTTCCAGCTAGTTCTTTGCTCCAATATAGACCAGCTTTCTTTGTCTGTCCTGTATCAAATAGACTTCCACTCTTATGCTCCTCATTTTATTTAACACCACTGACATATTTTTTATATATTTGTTGTCTGTCTCTTGCCATTAGAATACAAATCCTTGAGGATAGGGACTTTTCTTCACTACCATGTCTTTAGAAATTAGAATGGTTCTTGGCATGTAGCATTTAGTCAATTGATATTTGATGAGGAAGTAATGAATGTATAGAAATAGAGAAGTCTCTTTTTCCAGGTAGGAGAGGAAGAATCTTGGTCAGCCAATGTGGCTGGCCATCTGATATTTCCTACTGGAGAATCTTCCCTTTTTCTTGGGATCCATTGGATACACAGAAGATGGGTATTAGGGAGGATTCCCATGCAAGGAAAAATATAGGATGCTCAGTTAAACTTGAATTTCAGATCAACAGCAAATCATTTGGCCATGCATACACTATGTAGCTACATATTTTGTGTAGCTCATTTCCTGTTGGTGCCATTTTGAGGTTATCTTTGGAGCTGAATAGGCATAGACTGATATTGGCCAATCCTGGAGATTTTATTTATTTATTTGGCAAGTCTGTTTCCTCAGATGCTTAAAGGGCTTCTAATCTCTACAGAACTATAAATTTTACAGCTACAGATTTTTGTCTCGATACTGTATTACAGACTGATATGGTTTGGCTGTGTCCCCACCCAAATCTCATCTTGAACTGTAGCTCCCATAATTCCCACATGTTGTGGGAGGGACCAGGTGGGAGATAATTGGCTCATAGGGGTGGTTCCCCCATACTGTTCTCATGGTGGTGAATAAATCTCATGAGATCTGATGGTTTTATAAGGGGAAACCCCTTTCGCTTGGTTCTCATTTTCTCTCTTGTCTACTGCCATGGAAGATGTGCCTTTCACCTTCTGCCGTGATTGGGAGGCCTCCCCAGCCACATGGAACTGTGAGTCCATTAAACCTCTTTTTCTTTGTAAATTACCCAGTCTTGGGTATGTCTTTATTGGCAGTGTGAAAACAGGCTAATACACACACTCACAGTGTTTACCTCTTCACATCAGTGCACCATCTGTTAGCTTTTAGTTTAATATCCTTTGTCCTGAAGTTATTCGTAACAGCAACTTCTTGCAGGAAAGCTCAGCTCTTAAGACTTTGTTTTTTTTTTTTTTTTTTTTGTAATTTAAGTTTTAGGATACATGTGCACAACGTGCAGGTTTGTTACACATGTATATATGTGCCATGTTGGTGTGCTGCACCCAGTAACTCGTCATTTAACATTAGGTATATCTCCAAATGCTATCCCTACCCCCTCTCCCCACCCCACAACAGGCCCCAGTGTGTGATGCTCCCCTTCCTGTGTCCATGTGTTCTCATTGTTCAATTCCCACCTGTGAGTGAAAACATGTGGTGTTTGGTTTTTTGTCCTTGCAATAGTTTGCTAAGAATGATGGTTTCCAGCTTCATCCATGTCCCTACAAAGGACATGAACTCATCCTTTTCTGTGGCTGCATAGTATTCCATGGTGTATATGTGCCACATTTTCTTAATCCAGTCTATCATTGTTGGACATTTGGGTTGGTTCCAAGTCTTTGCTATTGTGAATAATGCCACAATAAACATACGTGTGCATGTGTCTTTATAGCAGCATGATTTATAATCCTTTGGGTATATACCCAGTAATGGGATGCCTGGGTCAAATGGTATTTCTAGTTCTAGATCTCTGAGGAATCGCCACACTGACTTCCACAATGGTTGAACTAGTTTACAGTTCCACCAACAGTGTAAAAGTGTTCCTATTTCTCCACATCCTCTCCAGCACCTGTTGTTTCCTGACTTTGTAATGATCGCCATTTTAACTGGTGTGAGATGGTATCTCATTGTGGTTTTGATTTGCATTTCTCTGATGGCCAGTGGTGATGAGCATTTTTTAATGTGTCTTTTGGCTGCATAAATGTCTTCTTTGAGAAGTGTCTGTTCTTATCCTTTGCCCACTTTTTGATGGGGTTGTTTGTTTTTTTCTTGTAAATTTGTTTGAGTTCATTGTAGATTCTGGATATTAGCCCTTTGTCAGATGAGTAGATTGCAAAAATTTTCTCCCATTCTGTAGGTTGCCTGTTCACTCTGATGGTAGTTTCTTTTGCTGTGCAGAAGCTCTTTAGTTTAATTAGATCCCATTTGTCAATTTTGGCTTTTGTTGCCATTGCTTTTGGTGTTTTAGACATGAAGTCCTTGCTCATGCCTATGTCCTGAATGGTATTGCCTAGGTTTTCTTCTAGGGTTTTTATGGTTTTAGGTCTAACATTTGAATTAATTAACTTTGGTTGTTTGCTCACTCCCTTTGTTTAACTAGATAGCTTAAAAGGAGGCAGGTGAACAGCACTGGAGGGAGGGGAGTAGTGTTACTTTGCTACCTCTTTCTTCTGCTTCCTTTAGCTTGGCTTATGACAGTTGAATTTTCCAACCTGGCAGGGCAGGGTTAGAAAATCAGAATGGAATCCCAGAACTGCAGTTTCAAGATATTTAGGAAGTGGCTCAGTGAGAATGCTATATATCAAGTGAATAAAATAAAGCTACAGCTCTAAATGCTAGGACCACCCTGAACCACCCAGCACCACTCACGACAGCTAAAATGCATGGAGCCTTTATAGCATGGCAGGTAATGTGCTGGTTACTTTTAGTATCATCTCATTTAGCCTTACCTTCATTAGGGAAATGCTATTTTTTGTTTTCATTTTATGAGCAAGAAAAATCAAAGCTCAGAGTATGTATAACAAAATGGTGAAGCCAAGATTTGAACCTTGGTACTGTGACTCCAAGGCTCATATACTTATGCTCTCAGATCTGGTGTATTTAGGAGAATGGATATGGTCTTAAACACTTTTATTATTCAGCAAGAATGATTTAAAGTAAATCAATTACACTTCAAGCCAAGAACTTAGAAAAATAGTAATGAAGTCTAGAAAAGAGAGATAAAGATAAAAGTGGAGATAACTTAGAAAAACATCAATATATTTACTATGCATGCTTCATTAAAAAATAAAGCAATAAAATCAGTACAGCACAGAGAGAAAGAGAGAGAAATTCCAGGCATGAGAAAGTAATATACAAGACAGTGAATACACTCAGAGGAATGGTAGAGCTTTTCAGAATGATGAGAGATTATGTCTTTACTTTTTGACTAAAATTTCTAGAAACAATTTGAACCAACAAAAATGACTCAAGGAAAGGAAGAATCATCAATAACTCTGCAATTTATTAATAATAATAAAGTTGACCAAGAATACCATTTATTTTCCAGCTCCACCCCTTCTGTAAAACAAGCAAATAAAAAGACTTTTAAAAACCCAGATGAAATTGTGAGCAATTTAATTCAGATGGTTAGGAGGCTAATATTTACAATTAATAATTAGGCTGGGCCGGGTGCAGTCGCTCATGCCTATAATCCTAGCATTTCGGGAGGCTGAGGCTGGCGGATCACGAGGTCAGGAGATGGTGACCCTCCTGGCCAACATGGTGAAACCCTGTCTCTATTAATAATATAAAAATTAGCTGGGCATGGTGGTGTGTGCCTGTAATCCCTGCTTCTTCGTAGGCTGAGGCAGGAGAATTGCTTGAACCAGGGAGTTGGAGGTTGCAGTGAGCCAAGATCATACCATTGCACTCCAGCCTGGGGACAGAGTGAGACTCTGTCTCAAAATAATAATAATAATAATAATAATAATAATAATAATAATCAGGCTGTTGTGGCACATTAGGGAAACAGGCTTCCCAAGTACCATACTATTCTGGCCAAGAATATGATAGAGAATTCACAGAAAAAGAAGACTAATTCTTCAGTAATATTGATGTAAAAATATGTAAATAAAATTCAGTCTAATAATATAGTAAATGGCATATCATAGTTAATAGGATTTATTTCAAGATCTCCAGAACAATTTAATGTTATGAAATCTATTGATAACATTTCATCATAGCATAACAAAAAACAATTGTTCTTCTCAATATGTTCAAAAGGGTTTGTAAAAGTTAACTTCAATTCCTGATATTGAGAAGATATTTCCTTATATTTAATCTTTAAAAAATTATACATCTCTGAAATGAACATTAAATATGAAAGCATCCTTGTATCTACCAGACAGAATTTTAAAAATGTAAAGCACAAAAGGGTACTGCTTATGTGACTTTAAAAATCCAAATTCATTATTAGGATCATTTATATCTCTGAAATACCAAAAGAATTTTTAATAAAGTCAGGAAGAATATCAGGA
The DNA here is from genome assembly GCF_000001405.40 of Homo sapiens. Classification (NCBI taxonomy): domain Eukaryota; kingdom Metazoa; phylum Chordata; class Mammalia; order Primates; family Hominidae; genus Homo; species Homo sapiens. Next base: position 91,504,354 of record NC_000013.11, read on the forward strand.
ATTCCATAATTGTTATTCATTAATAACATTATTCTATAAGTGGTTATTAATATTTTGGATAAATATATTGAAGTTATAGTTATTAGACAGTAGAATTATTAATTTCTAATATAAAGCCTACAAAATCAAATTATTAGAAATAATAAAGAATATAGTTAGATATTAGCATTGTTCTTATATAACAGCAACTACTTCGAAAATAAAAGCAAATAATAAAGGATGTTATGCAGAGTGGTGGAAAATAAATACGTAACCTTAGGAATTAATATAACCTTAAATAATAAGACATTATGAAAACACCGTGTGGTGTGAAAGAAACTTATGCTGGGTATGGTAGCTCATGCCTTTAATCCTAGTGCTTTGGGAGGCTGAGGGAAGAAGATTGTTTGAGGCCAAGAGTTTGAAACCAGCCTGGACAACATAGTGAGACCCATCTCTAAAAAAAAAATAATTAGCTGGGCATGGTGGCATGCACCTGTAGTCCCAACTACTTGGGAGGCTGAAGTAGGAGGATCGCTTGAGGTAAGGAGTTGAGGCTGCAGTGAGCTATGACTTTGTCACTGCACTCCAGATTGGGCAACAGAGGGAGACTGTCTCTGTAAAACAAACAAACAAGCAAACAACCAAACAGAAAACCTGGAAACTTGAACAAATGGAAGGATATATCACATGGTTTCATAGGAATAATCAAGAATTGAAATAAGTCAATTTCTTACATGCTTGTGTATATATATTGAATGTAACTGTTTCCAAAGTTTTAAGGCGCGTATTTTTTTTCTTTCAAAACAGAACAAATAATCCTAAGGTAAACCTGGAAAAACAGATTGATAAAAGTAGCTAGGAAGATCAATCTTAATAACCTTGCTCTAATAGATACTGAACATTCTTACACATAGTTAAAATAGTATAGCACAGGAGTATGCAATAGCGAGATATATCAAGAGAGAAAAAAAGAAAGACTCCAGAAATAGACCAAAGAATACATAGAATAATAATTGGATGATTACTTGTTCAATTGAGATATTTAAATGTAATAGATGTAAACCCAATTCCACCATCTGCAGAAGTCTAAGGCTCTTCCCCAAAATTTCTGTAAACCCACAGGCTGGTAGTGGGGACATGATGTGACTTTGTCCCCTCTACTTTCTGGACTTCCAACTTCCTGAATACTGGTCCTAGGCTATGTCATGTCAGTCAAGATGTGGAACTCAGCACTTTGTTCAAGTTTCACAAATCTGACAACCAACAAGTCAACTCTCCTCTAAGGCAGTTACTACTCTTCCATGCTATTTTTATCTTCCAACATTTTGTTAATGATTCCTAACTGCTGTTGTCACTTCTCTGTATTCATTGCCCGTTTTACTTTTTGTGTCCCTCACTGTCATTTTGTGGCATTTTGGTAGGGGAAATCCATAAGTGTATGGATGTAAGATACCACTTTAACTGGAAACCTTTTCCTCTGTAACTCCTTTTTTATAAAGGAGATATTATGATAATTTCCCAGATACTCTTATCTTCTCAAACGCTGTCCTTTGATTAAATCTCAGAGAATACCAAGGTTTTAAGCAGTTTAAAAGTGCAATATATTATTTTATTTTGCTTTTTTTTTGTAGAATAGGATTTATTATGAAAGAAGAAACAAAGGTGATATATTTGTGTTTCTATTATGTGATACGGGTTTGCACAGATTCTATCATTTAAAAATTCAGAGCAACTCCATGGGGGAAAATTAAGGATCAGAGAAGCCAATTACTTTGCCTGAGACAGGAGAGTAAATAAGTAGCCTATTTAAGTCAAGGTTTTCTGATTCCCAAGTTCATTCTCTTTCACTATATTCTATTTGCTCTTAGGAGTAAACTACTTCTCTAAAGTTGAGTAATTATTAATTTACTAGAGCATAATAAATATAATTTAAAATAAAACATATATTTAAGCATGAGAAGAAAATGAAAAATACAGTATCACAATGCTTTTGTTATGCCTTCAGTTTCATCGCCTTTATTGAATATTTAAATCCATTAATCTTGTTCCCTTGTTTCTATAGATTTTAGTAATGACTTTCCCTGTTCTATTGCAGTATAGTCTGGTTTCCAGATATTTTATCTTGATTGTCTCTTACTCATCCTATTAATGGTATACTGCCAGATATTACAAAATTGCATAAAATTCTGAAAGCATGTAAGATCTATATGCCAACAAACTCTTTGAGTTTATGGATAATACAGAGACAAAGTAGTTAACAAAGAAATAAGTAAAAATCACTTCCCTCTGATGAAGTTGAAAATACTCAAAATATCAGAGTATTTGAAAAAGTCTAAAGACTTAAATGACATAGAAAAAATGACTTTGAATAAAATATTTTTAAACATATTTAAAGTAAAAGCACATGAATATCAAGTAAATTAAAAATATAATGAATTATTTATGGATGACTTTGATTTATAATTTAAATCATAAACCTTGATTTTCCAAGTTTTCCTGCTTAATAATTTGACTATTTGATTATTATGGTGATTATCCAATTAAAAGTTTAAATACTATTATAAAAACAAAACATGCCAATGCTGAGAAAAAAATAAGAAATATAAATGAATAGCATTGAAAACATAAGTCCCAATGCCCCAAAGTAACCATGGTTAGTATTTTGGTATACACATTTTTATATATATCAAATAGACATATACTAGATTTTCAAATATGTGTATATATCTTAGTTTTTGGGGGCTGCTATAAGAGAATACCATAGACTGAGTGGCTTATAAACAACACAGATTTACTTCTCATAGCTCTGGAGGCTGGGAATTTCAAGATCAAGGGGCTGGCAGATTTGGTGTACGGTAAGGGCCTAGTTCCTGGTTCATAGATATCTGTCTTCTTGCTCTGTCATCACATGGCAGAATGAGGAAGGGAGCTCTCTGGGGTCTCTTTTATAAGAATCCCATTCATGAGGACCTGTATTAGTCTGTTTTCACACTGCTGATAAAGACATACCCGAGACTGGGTAACTTACAAAATGAAGAGGTTTATTGGAGTTACAGTTCCACATGGCTGGGGAGGCCTAACAATCATGGCGGAAGGCAAGGAGGAGCAAGCACATCTTATATGGGTGGCAGGAGGCAAAAAGAGAGCTTGTGCAGAGAAACTCCCATTTTTAAAACCATCAGATCTTGTGAGACCCATTCACTATCACAAGAACAGCAAGGGAAAGACCCACCCCCATGATTCAGTCATCTCCCACTGGGTCCCTCCCACAACACGTGGAAATTATGGGAGCTAAAGATGAGATTTGTGTGGGGACACAGAGCCAAACAATATCACAGCCACACTCTCATGACTTAATCACCTCCCAAAGACTGTACTTCCAAATACCATCACATTGAGGGGTTAGGTTTCAACATATGAATTTTGGGGAGATACAAACATTCAGTCTATAGCAGTATATTTGTGAGTCAGCACTCATATTCCAAGGTGAAATTATATCATATATACTTTTTTGAAACTTTGCTCTCTTAGCTTATCAAAAAATGTTTAAAGTGGGTTGAATACTGAAAACTCTGAAAGTATACTTAATTGAAAAGTATTATTTAAAATATTCTTCAATCTTAAACAATGATACTAAAATAATATATATTTAAAGAAAGCAAACTCCTTAGAAAATGTCTTGACTTTGAATGAGAGATGTAGCAAAAATATATGATAAAGGATAAGTGACCTTTCTTCTTATTTTTAGATTTTTGGCATTTTTAAAGATCATTATCAGATACCAAAATACCTAATGTTTTCAAAATGGACAACATTTGGCTTAAAAACAGCTCACATAAAAAAAGGAATCATGGCTTTAGCTAACAACAAAACTTACTGTTAGTATAACGTAGTATGAATTAGATGTGAGAGATGCTAATATAAAATTAGACTGCATTTAAAGAATGGAGGTATTGAGAGCAAAGGTAGATATTATTTCCCAGGCCCTTCAATTGTGAAAACATGTCTGGTAGAAAATGTTCAGTCCAATGAGCCATATTGTTAGACGAATAGTGGCAATTATGGCTTATATAAAGGAGGGCAGACAGGATGGCATTGTACTGGAAATTATGCCATGTGAAGACTGGCTGAAGTAGGGGTATTTAGTTCATTAAATGAGTTTTGTTGGTACACTGACAGGCAAAATAGATCAATGGAATTTATAGGAAAGCAAGTTTTAACTCAGTAGAAGGAGGACATGAAGTTCTATTTATTAAGTGCCTGCTCTGTGTCACGCCCAGGAGATATGATAGGCATATTTGATCAAGGTGGAATTTCAAATAAATTTGCAAAAAGATGGATCAACCATGACAAATATGCTACAGACAACTGACTATAAACATATATCTAATTCAGTTCTTCACATCTTCCTGTAAAAGTAACATAAAAATATAAAGGATTTAAATGTAAAAAACTCTATGTCAATGTGCTATATACAATCACAGCCATTCCATAAATTTAACCCATTTTAAACATAGGCAGCTGAGGATCTGGGCTGGGACATTAAGGAATTTGCCCCCCAAAAAGCATCATTAGGTTAGAAAACAGCAGAGCTCGAGTTAGCCCTGGCCTGACCTCAAAGCTTGTGTTCCCCATCCCATACTATAATCCATAAGATAATCAAATCCAAATGTGTCATAGACAGTCTGGTAAAATGTTATAAAGGCTTTTTGAGCCTTGAAGGTTGAGACAAAGACTGGAATACCAGTTCACAGTTGATACTGGAATCTTTCCTGTAAGAAGCAGGAGTAGCATAAGGCTACCACTAATATTCCCTATAAGTCTTAAATTTATTATTCTAATGCCCCAAAATTGCAGGTATAGTAGTGAGCACTTCTTGAATATTTTATTATTAAATTGAAAATATAAAGGATGCAATCCTCAGAGCTCATACCAGGTCAAACTACTACATAACTGTTGCAAACAAAAAAAACTTTTGCAAACAAACTTGGGTTCACTGTGAGACTATCTCAAAATATTCTATGAAGTTACTTCAATTAGGTCTTTAAAAGTGCTCATAAAGAAGGCTTAACATATTCATATTTTAAGGATCAAATAGTGAGATAGTCATATTTGCATAGGCATTCTTATGAAAAGTTTTACTGTTTAAAAAGTCATGCTATAATAGATATTCATGAAAAGTTGATGTGATTAATAACCTAATTTTAGAATTCTGGGAAAGCAATATTTCATTTTGAGACCTTGTTTTTCATGTTACATTAGGACAATATTAATATAACACTAAATGCTCAAAAGAGTTTTATATTAAACTATTACTAATCATATTTCTTAACTCTTTCTAAAGTAACATTTTTATTCAAAGCCATTTTAGTCACATGGGAATACTAAAAATTAGTCATGATCTATTTTATTATAATCTTTGTATATGCTTTATATTGGGCATTGGACCAGGTATCTAGTTTACCTGGATTTCTGGTACTTATATCAGATGTATCTAAGAAGCTTGAGTACACAAGATTACTCTTTAGATATAAAATGAATTAATAATTTAGTTGTAGTATTTCTGATCCTACCTGGTAATAAATGTCATTACCTAAGCAAGCCAATATGGTTTGTCATTATCACTTGTATATCACCATTTCTACATAATTTCTAATGATATTTGAAGTATTTACCTCATATATTTTCCTCTGTTTATACATTCTTACATATAAAACATACTATATATAAAGTTTTGTTTCATTTTTGTTTTATCATGTTAAATATTCTTTGGAAAAATATTTCACAGCTATAGAAAATTATGTACATATATTATTATTATTATGAAAGTCATGCTATTTCCATTGTTTAATTATAAATACAATAATCATAGCTATCATTTGTATTGTGCAATCATTTATATTGTGTGTATTTTGTGTAAGAGCTGCTCTAATGTTTTAGATATATCATCTTGTTTAATGCACGGAACAAGCTCATAGATAGATGCTGTTATTTTCACATCTACACATATGAAAACTGAGCACAGAAACGTTATGTGATTTGCCCCAAGATATCCAGCTGGGAAGCTGCAAAATTTGGTTTTGTAACCATGCTGTCTGGTTCCAGAGTCCCCACTGATAACCATAATGCCAGGCAGATTCTTTAAACATGAAGTAGGATAAACATTTATAGATATATAATTTCTGTCCATATTTTCATTTTTCTTTTGGAAAACATTTCTAAGCATTTTTGATAGTCTTGCTGAATACAATATCTGCCCATATTTTAATTTGTCTTTGGGAAAAAATTTCTAAACATTTATAAAAGTCTTGCTAAACTGTTTCCCAGAAAGGTTGTGTTAATTTATATCCCACCAAGATTGTTCCACAGATTCCAGCTTCACTGTATCCCTTCCATAATGGATATAACTATTTTTAGATTTTTGCTAATTTTACTGAAAAAGTTTCTATTAATTAATATTTGTTGCTACTTTTGAGGAAGTTAACTTTTTCAGTTGTTTTATTAACTAATTTTATTTTGTGGGTTATTAGTTCATTTAATGTCTTTCTATCCTACTGGAGAATTAATGAGGCTTATCTTATTCATTGTGTATTATATTTTGCATAACTAGATACCAGTATTTTCCTTTGATTTTTTTATACTGTACTGCTTTTACACATGGAAAGGTTTTGCCACCCTGAAATCAGCTCTTTATTTTAGTATGATCCTTTCTAGGCTATTTATATTAATTTAAAAATAACATTTTATCTATTTAGGTTAAATTTGAGTTTGTAGTTAAATGATTGTCTCAGAAGCATTTCCTTTCTTGATACAGAATTCCAATATGATGTTTCTTTTTCCCTCTTCGGTACTTTAAAGATGCCTTTCTATTGTTTTCTGGCCTCAATTATTTCAGTGAGAAGATAGCTGTAATTCATATATATTTTTCCCTATATGGAATGCATTCTGTTTTTCTCTAACTGCTTTTAGTATATTTTCTTTCTCTTTGGTTTTCAGGAATTTGATAATTATATGTCCATTATTTGGCTTCTCTTAATTTTATGGCTGATATTTTTGGCTCTCTGGGTTGATACATTTCTTTTGGTTTGGAAAATTCTCATTCTTTTTTTTCTGCTTCCTTTTCTCTTTCTCCCTTTGCACCAATTACAAGTGTTTTACTGTTTAACAATGTCTCACAAACCTCAGGCTTTGCTCATCTTCCTCCCCACTCCCCCAGCATTGTTTTCTTCTTTGAGTTTCAGCGCGGCTGATTTCAAATGACTTATCTTTAAGTTCGTTGATCTTTTCATCTGCTCTTTCCACTCTGATATCAAGACTATTGTATGAATTCTTCATTTCTGATCACATATTTTCCATTTATAGTATTTCCATATGGTTTTTTTTTCAACTCTTATAAAATTTCCCATCTCTTCATGCATGTTATCTACCCTTTCTATTATATTACTTAACATATTTGTCATAGTGTCTTGTATGATAATGTATACATCTTGGGCGTATATGAACCTTCTTCTATGGACTATATACTTGGATGATGGTGGGCCTTTTTTTGTCATGTCTCATAATTTTTAATTTTATAAAAGAAACTATATATAAAAGAATAGGGGAGACTGAAATAAATGAGAATGTACCCCCACAAAGGAGAATATCCCTTCTCCAGTTAAGCTATTAATGTGGGAGTCTGAGTCAATGTAACCTGTGGTAGAACTGGGTTTAGGTTTAGTGTTAGTTAGATGGAAATCACCACAGGCTTTAAATATATTTTTTGCCAACAGATCAGGATCTTTTCATTAGCAGAGCTTGTGATCAAGATTCCATCATCGCAACTCCAGAAATCGCTCTATGTTTTACATCGAAACTACCAAAGTTCACGAGGCTAATTCCACAAAGCAAATTTCTCTGCTTTACGTAGTGCAGCTGGTAGTATTTGGAGAACTTGGAAGTTCTTTTACTTCCTCTGTCCTTCCCGTAGCTTTCTGCACCTTTGGAGATCTCTTTCTGTCCTATTCTTCTGTCTCCAGTCATCAGAGGGCAACTCCAGTGCACTTGAAGTCCTAGAGTATCTTGGGGGGATTTTTTCAGCTTTCCTCTCATGCTCAGCATTTGTAGAGCAGCTCCTGTGCATTTCGTGAAGCCCTGGCATACTTTGAGGGATTCTCTCAGCTATTCTGCCCTGCTCCTGATTTGTACTGGGCCATGTCCCTGCACTTGGCAAAGGCCCTGCACACCTCGAGGTGGGTCACTTTCAAACCTCCTGCCCTTCCCTGGCCTTTGGTGTATAGGCCCTTAACGCTTGGTAGAGGTCTCTTGGCTGGGGCTCCTCAGTATGGTAATCTCTCATGAGAGCCTGTAAATGGCTGTTAAAGGTATGCTGAAAGTCCATCTGGATTATTCTTGCCTTCATTAATGGTGGAATCATCTTCTTGCTGTGTTTCAAGGATTCAAACAGCTGTGGGTCTGTTGTCTTCTAGGAGGGTCTAATTTTCTAGTACCATTAGGGTTTTTTGCATACTAAGTTCTGTGATGTGTGTTTTAATCTATAGTTTTACAGCTTATCCAGCTTGGTTCTCATTATTATTAAGGGTAGAAAAAAGTTTTTCTTGATAACTTTTTACATCTTAACCAGATACAGGTCTCATATTTATTTTCTTCACATTACACTTTTAAAAAAATCATTGTTATTATTTAAGCTCCAGGGTACATATGCAGGTTTGTTACATAGGCAGGCTGGTTACATAGGTAAACGTGTGCCATGGTGGTTTGCTGCACCTATGAACCCATCACCTAGGTATTAAACCTGACATGCATTAGCTCTTTTTCCTTCATTAAACTCTTTATATTGTGATGATGATAGATTCACAGGCCGTTGTAAGTAGTAATATGGAGATTCCATGTACACTTTACCTAGGTTTCCCTGCTTGGTGAGATTTTTATGATTGTAATAAATATCACAACTAGGATAATAACATTGATACAATCTACTGGTCTTATTTAGATTTCACTAATTTTACTTGTTTTCATTTGTGTGTGTGTGTGTGTGTGTGTGTATTTAGTTGTGTGCAATTTTATCACACATGTATGGGTTTGTGTATGCTTGACTCACCACTGTTAAGATAGAGAACACTGGGCTGGGCGCGGTGGCTCATGCCTGTAATCCCAGCACTCTGGGAGGCTGAGATGGGTGGATCACCTGAGGTCAGGAGTTCAAGACTAGCCTGGCCAACATAGTGAAACCCTGTCTCTACTAAAAATACAAAAATTAGCCAGGCGTGATGACATGTGCCTGTGGTCCCAGCTGCTCTGGAGGCTGAGGCAGGAGAATCACTTGAACCCCGGAGGTAGAGGTTGCAGTGAGCTAAGATCACATTGCTGCACTCCAGCCTGGGCAACAGAGCGAGACGCCATCTCAAAAAAAAGAAATAATAATAATAGAGAACACCCCTACAAGGGTCACTCGTCTTCCCATTTTATGACCATACCCATCTCCTTCCACAGCTTTTTCCTTGTAATTCCTGAAAAACACTGACTTGTTCTTTATTACTATTTTGGGAATATTGTATGAATGGAATCATGTAGTATGTAACTTTTTAAAAATCCACTCAGCATAATTCCCTTGAGATTTATTCAAGTTGCATGTATTGATAGTTTGTCCTTTTTATTGCTGAGTAGCATTATATTGCATAGATACATCACTTTTCGTTTAACCATTCACCTGTAAAAAGCCATCTGGGTTGTTTCTGGTTTTTGGTTATTTTCAGTAAAGCTATTGTGAACATTAGGATACAGGTTTTTGCATGAATATAAGCTTTCATTTCTCTGGTATAAATTCCCAAGAGGAAAATTGTTGGGTCTTATAATAATAGCATGTTTAGTTTTATAAGAAATTACAAATTTTTTTCCTGAATGGCTGTACCATTTTATATTCCCACCAGCAATGTGTAAAAGATTCAGTTCATGAGTATGAGTGAGCCAACATTTGATGTCACTAATTTTATTCTAGCTAATTTGATAGGTCTACAGTGCTATCTCATGTGTTTAATTTGCATTTCCCTAATAGGCTAATGCTGTTGAACATATTCTTATATGCTTATTTACTATCTGTATATGCTCATCAGTGAAATACCCGTTCATGTCCTTTGTCTATTTTATAATTAGATTTTTTTTGCTATCAAGTTTTGAAAGTCCTTTATGCATTGGAGATACTAGTCCTTTGTTTGATATGTGGTTTCTAAAAACGTTATTTCTAAAAACATCAACAATTATAAAAAAAATCCATCTAGGAAGTAAAAAGTAACTGAGATTTTATCACCCAGTGGAATCCAATGTTAATATTTTAAAGAAAAGTCTTTCAAAATATGTACAATATTATACTTATCTCCTCATATCTCTATTCTCATCTGTAAGCTCTGGCTTAGTTTTACTTGCTCTAGGAGGTCTTTCTTTTGTAACTCCTCTTACCTGGATTGGTCACCATTATTTTTATCTAATGCTCACAGTTTTTATATCTCATACTTTCTATATTCTTATTGACAGCTTTCTATGTATTTCACTTTAAGGTCAAAAATAAATAAAATAAAGTCTAGAACTAAAGAATACTTTATATCTGCGCTATTTAAAACCATAGCCACTAGCCTCATGGAATCATTTACATTTTAAGTGATATTAGTTGAAAATTAAATAATACTAAAATTCACTTTCTCAGTTGTGTTAAACCACCTTTCAGGTGTTCATGTGGCTAGGGGCTACTGTATTGGACAGTGCAGATACAGAACATTTCTGTATTCACAGAATGTTTTAGTAGACAGAATTACTTAAAAATGCATAATTGAGACTTCTTAGAGTCGCACTATAGTTATCTTGTTGATATTTTACCAGATATCAACTTTATGCTGTAATTTGACCTTAAACAATCTACTTTTATGCAAACTTGTTCATTTTTTTTAAAGCAATTGAGATTAACAATAGATGACCTGTATTAGGAAACTTCAAAAAACTAAATGTACATTTTTTTTGAATGGAGCATTCTTTATGGCAGGGGCTCAAAGAGAATGGGAATTAATAAGCCTCTACTTTGTGCCAGGCATCTTCCTCTTGAGATGACATTCAGTCCTTGAATAACTGCATGAATTAGGCTATGTTTTCTTCATTTTACATAAAAGGCTACAGAGGCTAACAGTGGTTAAATAACTTGCCTAAGGTCATAAAGTTTTGTTTGACCCCAAATCCCTGTAGTTTTATCTTATTTGAATCTGTGTTTTCCATAAAAATACCTTTCTATGGTACATGAGTCAAATCTCTGTCTTCCTCTCATGATGACAATTATGATGGCATTTAGACCCCACCAAATAATCCAGGATAAATGTGAAAAAGCTTTGTTTGTACTATGATATTCCTCATCTCCCATTTGGGATAGTCTTCTGTACTTTTAAACAGCACTGACCATCTGTTTTAGTCTGTTTTCACGCTTCTGATAAAGACATACCCAAGCCTGAGAAGAAAAAGAGGTTTAATTGGACTTACAGTTCCATATGGCTGGGGAGGTCTCAGAATCATGGCAGGAGGTGAAAGGCACTTCTTCATGGCAGTGGCAAAAGAAAAATGAGGAAGAAGCAAAAGAGCAAACCCCTGATAAACCCATCAGATTTTGTGAGACTTATTCACTATCAGGAGAATAGCACAGGAAAGACTGGCCCCCCATGATTCAATACCTCCCCCTTGGTCCCTCCCACAACACGTGGGAGTTCAGGGAGATACAATTCGAATTGAGATTTGGATGGGGACACAGCCAAACTATGTCATTCCACCCCTGGCGGAACCAATTATGCCTCCCCAGCAGTCCCCCAAAGTCTTAACTCATTTCAGCATTAACCCAAAAGTCCACAGTCCAAAGTCTCATCTGAGAGAAGGCAAGTCTCTTCTGCCTATGAGTCTGGAAAATCAAAAGCAAACTAGCTAGTACCTGGATACAATGAGGGTACAGGTATTAGGTAAATACAGCTGTTCCAAATGGGAGAAATTGCCAAAACAAAGAGATTACAGGGCCCATGCAAGTCCAAAATCCTGTGGGGCAGTCAAATTTTAAAGCTCCAAAATGACCTCCTTTGACTCAAGTTCTCACATCCAGGTCATGCTGATGCAAGAGGTGGGTTTCCATGGTCTTGGACAGCCCCACTCCTGTGGCTTTGCAGGGTACAGCCTCTCTCCTGGCTGCTTTCATGGGCTGGCATTGAGTGTCTGTGGGTTTTCCAGGTGCAAGTTGCAAGCTTTTGCTGGATCTACCATTCTGGGGTCTGGAAGACGGTGGCCCTCTTTTCAGAGCTACACTAGGGAGTGCCCCAACAGGGACTCTGTGTGGGGGCTCTGACCCCACATTTCCCTTCTGCACTGCCCTTGCAGATGTTCTTCATGAGGGCCCTGCCCCTGTAGCAAACTTTTATCTAGGCAGCCAGGCAGTTCCATACATCATCTGAAATCTAGGCAGAGGTTCCCAAACCTAAGTTCTTGACTTCTGTCCACCCACAGGCTCAACACCATGTGGAAGCTGCCGAGGCTTGGGGCTTCCACCCTCTAAAGCCACAGCCCGAGCTGTACGTTGTCCCCTTTCAGCCACAACTGGAGCAGCTAGGACACAGGGCACTAAGTCTCTAGGCTGCACACAACATGGGGACCCTGGATCTGGCCCATGAAACCATTTTTTCTTCCTGGACCTCTGGGCCTGTGATGGGAGAGGCTGCCTTGAGAGTCTCTGACATGGCCTGGAGACATTTTCCCCATGGTCTTGGGGATTAAGATTAGGCTCCTTGCTACTTATGCAAATTTCTACAGCCAGCTTGAATTTCTCCCCAGAAAATGGGTTTTTCTTTTCTACTGCATAGTCAGGCTGCATATTTTCCAAACTTTTATGCTCTGCTTTCCTGATAAAACTGAATGCCTTTAACAGCACCCAAATCACATCTTCAGTGCTTTGCTGCTCAGAAATTTCTTCCACCACGCAAAGTGAATCATCTCTCTCAAGTTCAAAGTTCCACAGATCTCTAGGGCAGGGGCAAAATGCTGCCAGTCTCTTTGCTAAAACATAACAAGAATCACCTTTGCTCCAGTTCCCAAAAACTTCCTCATCTCCATCTGAGACCATCTCAGCCTGGACCTTATTGTTCATATCATTATCAGCATTTTGGTCAAAGCCATTCAACAAGTATCTAGGAAGTTCCAAACTTTCCCACATTTTCTTTTCTTCTGAGCCCTCCAAAGTGTTTCAATTTCTACCTGTTACCCAGTTCCAAATTGCTTCCACATTTTCCAGTATCTTTTCAACAATGCCCCACTCTACTGGTACCAATTTTCTGTATTAGTACATTTTCATGCTGCTCATTAAGACATACCTGAGACTGAGAAGAAAAAGTTTAATTGGACTTACAGTTCCCCATGGGTGGGGAGGTCCCAGATCATGGCAGGAGGCGAAAGGCACTTCTTACATGGTGGTGGCAAGAGAAAAATGAGGAAGAAGCAAAAGTGGACATCTCTGATAAACCCATCAGATCTTGTGAGACTTATTTACTATCATGAGAATAGCACAGGAAAGACTGGCCCCCATAATTCAATTACCTCCCCCGGGCCCCTCCCACAACATGTGGGAATTCTGGGAGATACAATTCAAGTTGAGATTTCGGCGAAGACACAGCCAAACTATATCACCATCTTATAGCAAAATGATATAGTGGTGGATGTAATCATTCACACTGTTATAGGGTCCTTTACATTACACAAGGAACACAGAATTTTAAAAATAGCTTAAATTATTCATTTGTACATAATTCAAAAGCTTAACTGTTTTAAGAAACATCCAATTAGATATCAAGTAGCATGTATAAGAAAGAAAATTATTAGGTATTCTGGCACATGCCTATAGTCCCAGGTACTTATGAGGCTGAGGCAGGGGGAACGTTTTAGCTCAGGAGTTTGAGGTTGCAGTGAACTATGATCACATCATTGCGTTCCAGCGTGGGCAACAGAGTAAGACCCCCATCTCAAACAACAACAACAATAGTAACAAAAAACAAAAGAAAGAAAATCTAAAATTACATGACAATTCGTATTTAAATAATTTATTTTAAAAGTTTATTTCTAAATAAAAAACCAAAAATATTGGACAGCTGATACTCAGAACAATGCATTCAGGCAAAGCTTTATAGCTCCATGTACTAGATGGAGAATTTCAGATTTCTTTTTTCTTTTTTTGAGATGGAGTCTCGCTCTGTCGCCCAGGCTGGAGTGCAGTGGCGTGATCTCAGCTCACTGCAAGCTCCGCCTCCCAGGTTCACACCATTCTCCTGCCTCAGCCTCCCAAGTAGCTGTGACTACAGGTGCCTGCCACTATGCCTGGCTAATATTTTTGTATTTTTAGTAGACATGGGGTTTCACAGTGTTAGCCAGGATGGACTCGATCTCCTGACCTTGTGATCCACCAGTCTCGGCCTCCCAAAGTGCTGGGATTACAGGTGTGAGCCACCACACCCGGCTCAATTTCAGCTTTCTAAAGAGGCAGTAGTAGTCAGGCTAAACAATGAGCAAATTGTAAATCTGCAAGCAGTTCTCACATCATCTGACTTTAGTCTTGATACTCTTCCCACTGTGCCATGTCCTTACAACATTTTAATGGCATTTTACTATCCTGGAGATCTAGTTTGAAATACGGGACGTGTGAAAGGAATTCATTAACGTTCATAATGTTTTCCGTGAATTAGCTAAAGTGGAATATTTATTTGTTTCCTTTTTTTCTGGAAGCAATTGGCCTATTGAAAGTAATTAGTGACTTGTATTCAAGTATCCTATTGTACAGTGTCTTGGGATAGATGAGCAATGTCCAATCACTGTACCTTATGCCTCTATTTATTCGTTATCCCTGCACCAGTGGGAAGTAAATAAAAACTGAATCATGACCCTTTTCTTTCTTTATTTGTACATTTGTATCTTAAAGGAACTATTTATATATTTATGATATGGTGATATGGTTTGGCTCTGTTTCCCCCACCCAAATTTCATGTTGAATTATGACCCCCCAGTGTTGGAGCAAGGGCCCCTTGGGAGGTGACTGAATCATGGGATCGGACTTTCCTCTTTCTGTTCTCATGAGAGTGAGTGAGTTCTCTTGAGATCCGGTTGTTTAAAAGTATATAACACTCCCCACTTCGCTCTCTGTCTCCTTCTTCGGCCATGTGAAGATGTGTCTACTTCCCCTTTGCTTTCTGTCATGATTGTAAGTTCCCTGAGGCCTCCCCAGCCATGTGGAACTATGAGTCAATTAAACTTCTTTTGTTTATAAATTATCCAGTCTCAGGTATGTCTTTATAGCAGTGTGAGAATAGAATAATACATATGGGGATTATATACTCATTAAAGATAGGAGCCAGTGAATTCATAATGAGGATTTGTATATTGGGCAGGTTACTGTTTACTTTTAGCCAAAGCTGGAATGATTTTTATAGGAAGGTAATCACTTTGTAATTGCAAACTCATTTTGGTTAACTCTAGAGTACGTTAGGTTGAAAATGGAAAAAAAAATAGTTCCAAGGAAAAAAAGAACTTATCAAAAAAAATCAGTGAAACAGAATTTATCAAAGAAAATGTAATAAAATAAGATTTAGAAAAATTGGAGGTCTAGGAGCACAATAAATAGAAATTGCTAATGAAGGATATGTTGACTTACTGGGGATGGATGGAGGCAAGCTAGAGATTTGATCCTGCAATCCAGTCATACTGGAAATAGTGGAACCATAAAAAAAAATTTATAAAATGGTCCCTTGGCTTACAGAGATCCATACATTCACAACTTGATATGGGGTGAAATATAAATTGATTTTAAAGATGTTAAATGTGTGAATGAAAAATAAAAAGGGTTATAGAGGTTTAAATGATTATTAGATAAATTGCTTTCATAAATATTAAGAAAATGATAGGTGTGTGGTGGTCATGTATCACCTTGGCTAGTTTCCTGGTCCCCAGATGTGTGGGTAAACATCAGTCTAGATCTTGCTTTGAAGGTATGTTTTGGACATGATTGACATTTAAATCCATAGACTTTGAATAAAGTAGATTACACTTCATAATTTGGGTGGGCCTCAGACAATCACTTGCAGGCCTTAAGAGAGAATGAGGTTCAACAAGGAAGAAGAAATTCTGTCACTATACTGCCTTCAGGCTTATGACTGTAGCATCAACTCTTCTCTGAGCCTCCAGCCTGCAAGACTGCCTTTATAGATTTCCAACTTGTCGCTTACTAGAATCCCATAAGATAATTCCTTAAATCTATTTCCATATATATATATGTGTGGGTATATATGTGTGTATATATATGTGTGTATATATGTATATATATGTGTGTGTGTGTATGTGTGTGTGTGTGTATATATATATATATATGTTTTGTTTCTCTGGAGTACCCTGACTAATATAATGCAGATAACTTATTTTTAAACAACAATAAGATCTGTCAACACTTGCTAAACTAGAATAGTTTAACAGATAATGATTTCCTGTAGAAATGATGATTGGGGGGTTTTGGTAACTTTCAAAGAATAACTAAACATCCTTACAATTTAATGATTATATTGAGATTTGGGCATTTCAATTGCCTTTGGTAATCTAATTTTAAATTCTCATAGTTACATTTCTGTATTATAAAATATAACTCTTTTATTGATATTCTTATGGAGGTTTAAAAAAAGATCCCAACTGAATTGTATTGATGGTTACATTATCCTTTGTTATGTGGAACAGGGCCAAACCACTTGTTTACATTTCACATGTACCATGCTGTTTCTCTTTTATTTTTCTTCACATGAATAGACAGAAGAGGTTTGCTTTCTAAAATTCTCAGGCTGGCAGTGTTTTATAAGAACTGAAACCAATTCAGAAAATGTAATGTAAAACACCATCTAAACACAATGAAAATCTTAGTGGGGCTTCTCTGCTTTTCATTTAAGTTCCACAATATTCAATGTTGTAGGGATTGAAGCTGAAGCATCTTCTGGAGTGTGAGAGAGAAATAGAAACACATGCCAAAGAACAATTCCAGTGCCTCTTTATACAGGTATCTTAGTTAAATTCAAGAGGCATCATACAGATAAATAGAAATACTGTTTCTTTCCTTCTTTTCCTCCTTGGTTAAATTTTTCACTTCCTGTCAACATAGAATTCCTTTATACAGTTTTGTCTATAACAATGACATTTAACTTAAAAAACATGTTCTGACAAACATGTTCTAAACAAACTCAAAGTGTTTTATTTTTTTCTATTCTTTCATTCAACAACAATCAACAGAAGAATTCTGCGATGAAATGTGTGAGAGTTTTCCCACCAACAAGAAAGCAATCAGTTCTGCAGGGAACACCAGTTGGGTGTCTTCTGATTCGATTCTGACACCATCTACCTAAAGATAGTGTCAGATTCCAAAAGGTGAGGGCTCAGTCCCCAAGACTGCCTCCCTCGACTTCAGATGCCAGTTAAAAGCTCCAAGCTGTCTGACTTGTGCCTATAACTGACTGGCTCTAAAATGGGGTTCCCATGCCACTGCCCTACTTGGGTTCGATTAATTTGCTAGAGCAGCTCATGGAACTTAGGGAAATATGTCTGTCTACCAGTTTATTATAAGAATATTACAAAGAGTATACATGAAGAGATATATAAGGCTGGGTATGGAGGAAGGGGTATGTATGGCACCTCTGTGCCCTCCCCAGGAGTGCCACCATCCAGGAACTTCCATATATTTAGCTATTCGGAACCCTTCCAAACCCTGTCCTTTTTGAATTTATGGAGGCTTCATTACTTAGAGATGATGTAAACCTTTGGCCATTCATGATCAACTTAAGCTTTAGCCCCTTTCCCCTCTCCACAGGTTGCGGGTGGGGCTGCAAGTCTCAACTCTCTAAACGTGCCTTGGTCTTTCCTGTGACCAGTCCCTATCCTGAAGCCCCCTATGGGCTTCAATTCCTTAGCATACAAAACGACATCACGTTGGAGAGTCTAAGGAGTTTAAGAGTGATATGTCAGGAAATGAAGTCAAAGACCAAATATGTATCTTATAATAGCACACATTTACAGTATCTGTACAAATCAATTATAGTTTTCCCCATAGCTGCGCACTCTTTTTTCTTTTATTTTTATTTTTTCTGTTTACACATAATTTACTGAATTTTTAAAAATTATACTTTAAGTTCTAGGGTACATGTGCACAACGTGTGGGTTTGTCACATAGGTATACATGTGCCATGTTGGTTTGCTGCACCCATTAACTCTCTACGTTAGATATTTCTCCTAATGCTATCCCTCACCCTACCCCCAACCCCACAACAGGCTCCCGTGTGTGATGTTTCCCTACCCCGTGTCCAGGTGTTCTCATTGTTCAATTTCCGCCTATGAGTGAGAACATGTGGTGTTTGGTTTTCTGTCCTTGTGATAGTTTGCTGAGAATGATGGTTTCCAGCTTCATCCATGTCCCTGCAAAGGACATGAACTCATCCTTTTTTTGGCTGCATAGTATTCCATGGTGTGTATGTGCCACATTTTCTTAATCCAGTCTATCATTGATGGACGTTTGGGTTGGTTCCAAGTTTTTGCTATTGTGAATAGTGCTGCAGTAAACATACATGAGCTGCACGCTCTTTTTCAAATGACATATCATCTTTCTGGTGTACAATAAAAGAAATGTAAAATGAGAATTACATAGTTTAGGATGGCGATTATAAAAAAGACAAAAGATAACAAGTGTTGGCCAGGAGATGGAGAAATGGAATCCCTTGCACACTGTTGGTGGAAACGTAAATTGGTATGGTCATTTTGGAAAGCAGAATGGAAGTTTCTCCAAAAATTAAAAATAGAACTACCATATGATCCAGCAATCCAGCTGCTGGGCATATATCCAAAGGAGATGAAATCAGTATGTTGAAGAGATATTTGCAATACCATGTTCATTGCAGCATTGTATACAATAGCTAAGGCATGGAAACAACCCAAGTGTCTGTCAACGGATAAAGTAATTTTCTATAGACACATGAAATATTACTCTGTCTTAAGGAAGGAAATTCTGTCATTTGCAACAACATGAATGAATCTGGAAGACATGTTAAATAAAATAAGCCACCACGGAGAGACAAATACTGCATGATCTCACTTATATTTGGAATCTAAGAAAGTCAAACCACAAAAGCAGAGAATATAATAATGGATGGTTACCAGGAGCATGGATGGGGTTTAGAATTGGGGGACTGTGGTCAAAGTTTTAGTTGTGTAGGATGAGTAAGTTCTAGGCATCAAATGTAAAGCATGACTATAGTTAATAATACTACATTGTATACTTGACATTTGCTAAGAGAATAAACCTGAAGTGTTTTCATTATACACCCACAAACACACAGCACCCATGTGAGGTGATGGATACATTAATTAGCTTAAATGTAGTTAATCACTTTATGATATATCACATTATACAACTTACATATATACAACTTTTATTTTTTTAAAGAGTGCATAATACGAGTCACTCAAAAAGTGTTTTGAGTTCACCTTTAAAACCAAGTCTTGATTTTCCTTTAAAGACACAGTTTTATGGTTTCTCTTTGCATGAATATATTATAATTTTAAAAATATATTAGAAAACTACATTTATTATCCTAATTTTTTGTAATAATGTGAATACTATAATAAATATAAATACATTTTTAAAGTCAAGGGAGAACTACAAATAGAAACAATCTTTGTAAAGTCTGTAAAATGATTTTTCAAAGGAATAAATCATTTCTAAGGTCCTTTAAAATGTACATCTGTTGTCTAACCACCAACATTTTGACAACAAGGAAACTGAAGCCCAGAAGTCTTATACTGCATTAGTTGTAGAGCTGGGATTAGAACCTGTACATCTTTGGACTCTTGGTTTAACAGCTTTTCTCTGATGCTTTGCAGTTGAAATTTTCACTCTAAAACATATTATAACATGGGGTGTTTTTTTATGTTTTTCAATTTAGTGTAGTATTATTTTTTGATTGATGCAGTTACAACATTAAGATATCAAAATTTCATTTCAACTAATGAAGATATTTACCTATATATTTTTTTAAATTTAGATAATTAATGAAAAATAAATTTCCACTGCCTACTACCAGACTACTAGCAAACAGATATCCAGATATGTACATCTATCTTATTTTTCAAGGAGAAACGGCATTATTTATATTCTGTTCATATACTGATTAGTGGCTTATTTTCTTTGGGTTACTTTGCTTGCTTTTAGCTTTACGTCATCCTGGGCCAGACCAGAAATTAGTTCTGTGGGTTTCTACACAGGTATTACTTGCTGCTGCAGCTAGGAATCAACTGCTGCCCCTGACTGATAGGAGCTGAGGGCCACTCTCAGGTTATAGAGGAGAGAACATAATTCACCCTTTCCCAAGGCATTTGCTCTCCGTGGTATCCTGTACTTTGTAAGAATGAAATTTGAAATGAATATTTGTTTCATTAAATCCCTGTTCCCATTTTCTTTATAAAGGTCAACACAATTGAAATTACATGCAAGGCTACCACATTATGTATTTATCTTTTAAAATGTTCCCTCTTGTATTACTGATGAAAAGATATAATTTCACTGTTGCTGTCAAGTTAAAGTCATGTATGCAAATGTTGATATTGAAGTTCCTGTAGCACAGTACGTTGAGTGTCAGAAACATATTTATTAATATTTATAGACACAATGTCCTCTTTTGTATTCTTCTTTCCTTCCCCTCGTAGAATGTGTGCAGCTTGTTCCTCTATACAAACGAACTATGTATTTTTCACTTGGAAATAGAAAGTCCATAAATTTAGAGGAATCTTACTTTTCCCCCCAAGAAATGTTATTAGTAGTCTGTTAGTGAAAATTTTTTAGAGCATCCTGAAAGATTTAATAAATTATGTAATCAATAAAAATCTTAAAGGAAGATGTTTATATGACAAGATCTTATATGCCTTACTAAATTTTAAATGCTATTTGGTACTGAATATTGAAATCCATTGGTGGTATATACCACTGCTTAGGTTATATATTTCATTAGGAGCTTATGCAGTGATTAATTATGTTCAATATTAGCACCAGCAAAATTTATGCTTCTGAAACCAGCTAGGTTTCTGCCTGATTTCTTGAAACTGTGGTTATTACAGAACTGGGGAGTTGAGTATTAATTTTTACTTTTAATATACCACCTCTTTCTGACAATTATTTGTGGCATTTCCACAGAGGTATGGGATAAACTGGTGGGTAGTGAGGAAAGAAGTAAGTGCATGTTGTTTGCCCAGAAATCCAATCCTTCAGTTGGTATTGTCTCAATTTCTTCTTAATGTATGTGTTTCTTTTGATTTAATATATGTAGAGCTCTGGATTCATTTTTCACTTCACTGCAATTACTGTAGTGTTTTTCTAACAATAATGTCGCACTTAGCAGTTATCATAAAATTGGGCTTCCAGTCAGTGATTAGGTAAAGGAAAGTAAATGATCTGAATGTATAGTTTACAATTTTATTACAAAAATGATCCTAAATTATTCTGGGGATCAGAAGTGGAACACTGAACATTTGTCCTCTACCACTACAGGTGTCAAAAGTTGAATTTATGTAGCAAGAAATAGAGTATTCTGCTGGGGGAGTAAGTAGTTGAGAATTTTGGGGATTGAGGACATGATAATGATAAAATGGAAAGGTGATATGGAAAAATTTCTCCCCAGGTAACATCAAAAGGTATAGTTCTTTCAAAATTTTAGTTTAGAGGTTCCAAATACGATCTGAATTTGGTCATTTAAAGGAAGAAATTAGTAGGGACAGAAGGAGAGACGATTTTAACAGATATGTGAGATACATTGCTGCATCTTTTACAACTGTTTCACAAGTTGTCGTTAGTTTTTCCAACATTTATTAAACTCCTGAGAAATACACTATGCTAGATACTTGGAATTGAAAGATCAATTTCATTTACTGAGTTGAAGAAGCTTTCCCCTTCCTGGTAGGGAAGGGTGATGAGACAAGAGGCAATCATAGCCTTGTGTATGAGTACTGGTCTGTTGAAATGCAGAGAAGGAAGCACTTATTTCTTCCAAGATAAGAAAAAACAGGTATCAGAAGTGGAATACTGTCTCAAAAACTGGTTAGAGAGAACTAGATTAGAATATTTTGAGCCTAGAACTTATATTTAATTTTTGCTTTTATCTTAGCTTTATGTGATTGGCAAGGTATCTTGCCTTTCTAAAGGGACTGAGGGACTTGTCAAAGGAATACAAGTCTCTACATCAGCGGCTATGACACTTGTCATTTTCAGAGCTGTTTTTCTTTGCTTGACGCTTGTATTAGTCCATTCTCACACTGTTATAAAGAACTGCCTGAGACTGGGTAATTTATGAAGAAAAGAGATGTAATTGACTCACAGTTCCACATGTCTGGGGAAGCCTCAGGAAACTTGCAATCATGGTAGAAGGTGAAGGGGAAGCAAGGCATGTCTTACGTGGCAGCAGGAGAGAGAGAGAGCACAGGGGAAATTGACACTTTTAAATCATCAGATGTCATGAGAATTCCCTCACTATCACAAGAACAGCATGGGGGGAACTGCCACCATGAGCCAATCACCTCCCACCAGACACCACCCTCAACATGTGGGAATTACAATTTGAGATGAGATTTGAGTGGGGACACAGAACCAAACCATATCATTCTGCCCCTGGCCCCTCCTAAATTGCACATCCTTTTCACATTTCAAAACCAATCATGCCTTTCCAATAGTTCTGCAAAGCTTTAACTTATTCCAGCATTAACTCAGAAGTCCAAGTCCAAAGTGTCATCTTAGACAAAACAACTCCCTTCCAACTATGAGCCTGTAAAATAAAAAACAAGTCAGTTACTTCCAAGATACAATGAGGATACAGGCATTGGGTAAATGTTCCTGTTCCAAATGAGAGAAATTGGCCAAAGCAAAGTGGCCATAGGCCTTATGCAAGTCCGAAACTCAGCAGGGCAGTCATTAAATCTTAAAGCTCCAGAATGATCTCCTTTGATTCCGTGTCTCACGTCCAGGGCACACTGATGGAAGGCTTGGGCTCCCAAGGCCTTGGGCAGCTCTGCCCTTGTGGCTCTGGTGGGCACAGCCCCCACAGCTGCTTTCACAGCTGGCATTGAGTGCCTATGACTTTTCCAGGCTCATGGGGTAAGCTGTTGGTGGATCTGCTATTCGGGCGTCTGGAGGACAGTGCCCACTTACAGCTCCACTAAGCAGTACCCCATTAGGGACTCTGTGTAGGGTCTCCAACCCCACATTTCCCCTCTGTACTGCCCTAATAGAGATTCTTCAGGAGGGCTCTGCCCCTGCAGCAGACTTCTGTCTGGACATCCAGGCATTTCCATACATCCTCTGAAATCTAGGCAGAGGCTCCTAAAGCTCAACTCTTATCTTCTGCACACCCACTGGCCCAGCACCACATGCAAGCCACCAAGACTTGGGGCTTCCACTCTCTGAAACAATGGCCTGAGCCATATGATGGCCCCTTTTAGTAACAGCTGGAGCTGGAGGGGCTGGGAGGCAGGGCACCATGTCCCAAGGCTGTGCAGAGCACTGAGGCCCTGGGCCTGACCCATGAAACAATTTTTCCCTTGTAGGCTTCTGGGCTTGTGATGGGAGGGGCTGGTGTGAAGATCTCTGAAGTTCCCTGAAGACAATTGTCTTGGCTTTTAATATTCAACTTCTCATTATTTATGCAAATATATCCAGCAGACTTGAATTTCTCCCCAGAAAATGGGTTTTTCTTTTCTACTGCATGGTCAGGCTGCAAATTTTCCAAACTTTTATGCTCTGCTTCCCTTTTAAACATAAGTTACAATTTCAATCATTTCTTTGTGAATGCATATGACTGTACGCTTTCAGAAAAAGCCAGGTCACCTCTTAAATGCTTTGCTGCTTAGAAATTTCTTCTGCCAGATATCCTAAATTATCTTTCTCAAGTTCAAAGTTTCACAGATCTCTAGGGTAGAGGCAAAATGCTGCCAGTCTTTTTGCTAAGGCATAGCAAAGTGACCTTTGCTCCAATTCTCAATAAGTTCCTCATCTCCATCTGACACCACCTCAGCCTGGACTTCATTGTCCATGTCGTTATCAGCATATTGGTCAAAACGATTCAACAAGTCTTTAAGAAGTTCCAAACATTCCCACATCTTCCCGTCTTCTTTTGAGCCCTCAAACTGTTCCAATCTCTGCTCATTACCCACATCCAAAGTTGCTTCCACATTTTCATGTTATCTTTATAGCAGTGCCTCACTCCCAGTACCAGTTTTCTGTATTAGTTCATTCTCACACTGCTATAAAGAACCCCCTGAGAGTCAGTAACTTAGAAAGGAAAGAGGTTTAATGGACTCACAGTTCCACATGGCTTGGGAGGCCTCAGGAAACTTACAATCATGGTGGAAGGTGGAAGGGAAGAAAGGCACATCTTACATGGCAGCAGAGGAGAAAGAGAGCACAGGAGCAACTGCCACTTGTAAACCATCAGAGTGCGTGAGAACCCCCTTACTATCATGAGGACAGCACAGGGGAAACCACCCCCATGATCCAGTCACTTCCCACTAGGTCTCTCCCTCCACACGTCAGTATTACAGTTCGAGTTGAGATTCCAGTGGGGACACAAAGCCAAATCATATCAATGCTAGAGTTTTGAGAATAAGGAAAAGCTGATATTATTTTATATTTTGGGGATGAAATGTCAGTATAATTAGTACACATAGAGCAAAACTACTTTTGGCTTCTAGAATAAGGCGTTCTGTTTTGGTTACTGATGTTTAACTATTTGCACACCTTAGATATTTGCACACTTTTTTATTTTATTCATGCATATCCTGCCTTCATAAAAATTAAGAGCTTCATGTTAGTTAACATTACTTTAAAACTATTTTAAAATTTATTTAAATCACTTAAAAAGTAACACAAATATATACCCCATATTTTGATTTTCTCAATTTTATTAAATTTATCTTAAAGAGAAAATAAGGAAGAGAAAGTAAAATCATTAAAGATACAAGCTTTGGAATGATACCTAGATTTCAGTTTCAGCTGTCTTAGTTTCCAGCTTTATGCTCCGAAGACATTTATCTCTCTTTGATTCAGCTTTTAAATTTGAAAAATAGAATACTAAAAGTATATACCTCGTATGGGTGTTTAAGGAAAAATCAAGTAGTTTGCCATTGTGCCTTTGAAAAAGTAATCATGCAGTAAGTGCTAGTTTTTAATAAAACAATAATAGCAGCATTGTTAGCGTTATAGATAGATAATACACCTGAAAAGTGAAGAAGGTAGTTTTCCCTTATGTTAAAAAATGTATTCTTTATTCTGCTTTTCTCCCCATACTAGTAGTAAAATAGTAGTCAACATTCCTCATAAGAGTCCTGGGGATTTTCCCCTGGGAGCATTAGGCTGTGGAACAAGGTCATTGTCACCTCACTTTTTTTTGTTTTCTACTATGACCTCATGTGTCTCGGTCACAAGTGGGTCTGAGCTGGGACTTCAGCTCCTGGCTCTCTAGTCTTGACCTGGGCCCTTCAGAACTTGAAAGTTGTCTCTCTTTTTTTTTCTCATTCTGTTTAGGGTCCTTAGTAGTGACATATCATAGGAAGCTAAGCTCTCAAGTCTTCAGATAGCCAGTGTCTCACAGCAGCATTTCACTGAAAACAGTCTCTGCCTTCTCTTTAATTACAAGAAAATGTCTTGGGAATTGCTGTACAGTTGCACCATTTTGCGAAACCTTCTTCAACATCTGCAAACTTCAACATACATGGAGAGGATCTTTATCTTATGTAACAAATGTGACAGATCATCATTACTCTTCACTTAAACAGTGATTCTGTTATGCAGTCATGTTTGGATATCCCTGGAGAGTGGTTTGCCAGAGCTAGCTTACACCAGCTTGCTGGAGGTCATCAGGAATTTTGTGAGCAGGTTGATGTCATCTTGGTAGGTTGAAATGAGCCATAGTGAGATAATTTACACCATGACCAGCAGATGCTATAATAAATCAAGTTTCCTCCCTCAGCCAGAACTGGTTCAACTTCTAGTATAAGACCTCTGACACCAGTATTCGAACATTTTGGGCTGGAGTAGTAGTAGATGCATAATATGCCTCCTTCATTTTAAACATTGAAAAATCCTACAAAAGTCCTAACATTTTCCTCTAATAATTTCACCTTTAGCTTTTTCCACCACTCCTGCAGTAAAGAGCCAGCACGCTCTTTTTATATCTTTTCAACCTATTTAATAATAGCATGCATTTTGGCATTTGTGAAATCGTTACATTTAATTTATTATAACCCAAAGCAGACTGTGATTATATTTGTCCCTAAATGATGTGAATAACCAAGGGAGCGAGATATTGGAATATTTAGATTGCTTTTCTTAAGTAAAAGTAAACTTTGCAGCAAATATTTTATTTCATTTATATCAATATATTTAAAGTGTATGACTATAACCCCCAATTTGGCCATATTCTTAATTCTGTTAATTTATTATTTTAGCACGAAATCTTATTTTGAGGATAGGGTTGAACAATAGTTCTTTGGTATCATGGTATGGATAGATCTCTCAGAGATTCTGGTTTGGTAGATTCTACTTATTACAATTGCTCTTTCTTACTGCCAATATTGAATTCTCTTACGTTGTACCCACTTAGGGAGATATTTTAAAACATTTATCTCTAGTTCTTCTGTGACTATTGGCTCCAGCTCTGAAGCATAATACTGAAAGAGTAGTCTGACTGAGGTAAGCTTCACAATACCTTTGAGTAATGATTTGATTTAGAGCTTAAATGGAATTGTAGCACATTGTATGTATGGTCTTATTTTACGGTATTGAAGTTTGCACAGAAATGATTTACAGATAGTGGTCCATTGTTTTACTTGAAGGGACCTTGATACTTACTGAATAGCTTTAGCTATCCAAATCATTCTAAAATGATTTTATAGAAGTCATTGTGGATAAAGCGAAGAACATAGGGGTTTTTTTTCCTATAAAAATTCATGGCAAGCCTATTGACTTTCTTTGAGCTATGGGGTAAAGCCGGCTGTTAGATAAAATCCCTAACTCTCTTTTAAAACTTACAAAGGAAAGATACTTTTTAGTATAAATTTTGAAAGCTGTAAGTAGCCCTAGACTCCTTTAAGAACTTGTTCTTCACTCTTGCAGAAGAAAACAGAAGGGAGTGTGCCGTTATTAAGTATTAGGTATACTAGAAAAAGGTAGAAGACAAACGTCTTTATACTCAGTTCTTATTCAAAGAGTAGCTGTGTTTATGTCCTTCACTTTCTTTTTGTTCTTTATACAAAAGTAGCAGCTTGAATAGAAACTGTGAGAAGTGTACTCTAAATAGGAACTGGTATGTGTGATAAAGCTTTAAAGGGTAAATACTTTGGATCTGACTTTTCACTTTTATTCAGTTTCACTGTATTTTGTCATTCAACTTGATGTTTTCTTGTGCTTCCAGATTGGGAATGGTGGCTGAAACACTCTCTTTCATTGTTTCCATGAGTCTCTTAGATCTTTCTGCTAATAAGACTAAATAAATGTGTTACTCGCAGTGACATGATTTAGTCACAAAAACGTTTTTCTGGGGATCCAGCTAACTGAAGTTTTCAAATCTAGTCAAGCAGTTATTGAGCATTTGATGATTTGGCATGGGAATTAAACAAGTGATTGTAAGAAACTCAAATAACTCCTTAATGGAAAAAAAATGAAAAAAAGGCAGATTAAGGAAATTGACACTTGAATGAAGAGTTTAATATGATTTTGACAAAAATCCTGAATATTCATTTTATATATGTTATTGTCAAAGCTCTGGCTAAAAACGATTAAATTGCAAATGGTATTGAAAAGGGAAGCATTCAGCAGTTGGATAATCCAAATGCAGGAAGGTGCTCCCAGATCAGTCAGCCGAATGATTCTAAATGGAAACAAGTGCCAAAGAAACCTAAGGTCCCAAATAAATGAACTAATTGCAGCTTTCATCTCATTTATTCATGTACAATTATGGCTTTTTGTCAAAAAAAGTTTCTGATGATCAGAAACCTTTTAAAGTCTTCATTTTCCATGGATCTTGGTATATCCATTTATATCAGTTGTTTCACAATCTGCTTTGAATGTCTTATGAACTATTCTTGGGTCTGAAGAAATTAGTTGGTAAGGAAAAATAAATGATGAAATGATGCAAAGTAGGCCGGGCACAGTGGTTCACACCTGTAATCCCAGCACTTCGGGAGGCTGAGGCTGGTGGATCCCTTGAGCTCAGGAGTTTGAGACCAGCCTGCGCAACATGCTGAGATCCTGTCTCTACTAAAAATACAAAAAAATAGCCAGCATGGTGGTGCGCACCTGTGGTTCCAGCTACTCGGGAGGCTGACGTGGGAGGATCACTTGAGCTTGGGGGCGGAGGTTGCAGTGAGCCAAGGTAGCCAAGATCACACCACTGCACTCCAGTCTGGGTGACAGAATGAGACCCTGTCTCAAAAATAAAATAAAATGATATAAAGTAAAAGATCTTGACCTAATGGAGAAGAATGGAAAATATGGCTTATGTATATTTTCAGTTCTCATTGTAAATTCAGTTCTTATTGGTAAATTACCAATGGAGAAAGGATGTATAAGTGTGTGGATGATCAGAATTACTCATGTACTCTGGAAGATAAGAACTTTTGAGAATCTGAAGTTAGATGAAGTCTGTGAATTTATTGGAAAGATGATTTTTGAACTATGAAATGAGGCTTGGGAGGTAAGAAAACCATGTAGGCAGATTCAAAAGGAGGAATGGATGTGGTGACTCTAGGAAGAGCTAAATGTGGAGTGACTCTGAGGTGACAGGACCCAGGTGAGCTTTCAAAGACACTGTGCTTCCCAAGTCCTTCTTGTTCTTTCCAATTTATTTCCAGTGATTTCCAAAGGAGTGTTATAATCATTGGGCTTGAGAAAATTAGTTCAAAGACTGGAATTGTCATTAACAACTCTATTTTTTTATTTTCTCTATGAATCACCTTGTATTAATATTTCTGAATAAAAAACCCCACATAATAATCTGTAATTAAAAGCAACTGAGTGCTCATCTTTGAACTAAGATTTGGGACCATGCCAGGAAGCAAAACAATCTCAGCCTTTGGCCTTGTGGAACAGACAGTGGCGGGGAAGATAGATAATGAACAGCACTGAAATGCTACACAAGATAGATAATGAATAGCAGTGAAAATGCTACACAACAGAACTTACAGAGGAGTCTGGGAGCATTAAAAAAGGGTGCTCCAAATGATTAGCACAGGCCACCGAAAGGAAGCAAAACTTAAACAGGTCTGTGAATGCAATTGAGTAACTTCCATAAATCTTTTTCCAACACCTTCTCAGTCTACTAGATATTCTTTAGAGGTAATTAGGTACTTGAATCATGTATGTGATTCCAAAATCAATGATTTAGAGCCATCTACAACATACTCCTTCCAAGTCTGAATCAGAGACTTGACATCTGGAATTGTGCAGTTAATGAAAATTGGGGTTGGGGATATTTCAGATGAAATATTCTTGGTGCTTTATTATTTTTAATGAAATGAGAAGCAGCATTTCTTTTTAGCTGCTCCCCTCTGAGAAGTTGCACTGAAGCATAATAATACAATTTTTCTTTTTTGTGAGAAAGGACAGTCTGCCCTGCTGAGAAGACATAGTGGCTTTGTCTTGGAAGGCCATTATAGATTATATATTGCTCACCTAAGGTTCGGATATTTCATGATTATATATTATGATTTAAGTATAAATTAACTTTAGAAGAACAGAAAATAATTTTCTTATTAAAGTTGAAAAACATATTCTCCCCTTTATTCTCTCTATCCCTCATTATTCATAGAAACCCTATGTGTTACCCATATGTACATATATATATAGTAACAATAAGTTTACAAATACAATTGCACTCTTTTTCCCTTTTAAATATATTATCTTAGATATACATTGCCTATGCAAATCTAGCCAAGTTAATTCTTTATACCTCAGTTTTCACTTCTGTAAAAGAGAAATGAAATGATTTTATAATGTAAAGTGTTTGAGCAATACTATGCATGCATTTAGAGTTTGTCAGATATTGGCTGTTGTTAGGGCAGTCCATACTGAGAAAGTTGATTTTGTTGAAAATCAGTTTGCTAAAGTTAAATACTCTGCATTGGAATTAATCCTCAGAAAGAAAAAATGGTGGATCGATGGAGAATGATTGAGGGTATTTAGAAATGTTGAAATTCACTGAAGACTACTTTAAAATTGGGCATTGGGAGAGTTGTCCCATCCTTAATTTTTTGACCACACTCATTAACCATATCTAACACATCACTGAATCCTGGAAATTGTAATTCCTCAATTTCTCTGAAATCCTGTTTGTTGTTTGTTTGTTTGTTTGTTTTGTTTTGTTTTGTACATAGCCCAGTCCATGGCATTATCATTTTTTGGCTTGGCCATTGCTGTATCTTCTAGACTTCGACAGCCATATTCTGATCCCCGTTCTTCTTCACAGTGTGGCCAGGATGCTCTTTTATAAGTGCCATTCTAAATATGTTAATTATCTAGTGAAACCCACTGAGTGACCTTCCATGGCCTTGTGAACAAATTCAAAATCCATTAAATGGCCTGTGAAGACTCTGAGATCTCTCAAATCACTTCTTCTCAGGCTTCATTTTTAGCTCTACGCCTTTGCTCTCTTTTCTCAGTGTCTGACGTGTATCACATTCTCTCATATCCCAGGAAAATTACATGTGCTATTTTCTCAGTCTGGGATTTTCTCTCTTGTTTCTCTGACATTTGTTACATATGATTTAGGGCTCAGTTAAGACATCACCCTTTCATTAGAGTGGCCATTTCTGACATTCTTGATAGGATTATCATGCCTGCATTATGTACTCTAAACCCTGATTTCTATAAAATATATTGGTCCTCCAGTTGTCTTTGTCTGTTTGGCTAGAGCAGGTCCTGCTATCTTGTGTTGTATTAGGAAGCTTGAGGAACGTGTCATGAAGATAAAAATTTTCGATTGCCTGTCTTCTTGTCTGTCAAGAGAGTGACCATTTAACACAATTCTGCATATGCCTTCAAACCACAAGACTAATGAAAATATTATATACACATTTGTTCATTTATTTATTCATTTATTTAACCTTGATCATTCAAAAAACCAATTATTCCTGGGGTGCCTACTCCTTTGAAGCATAGGAATTATCAGGATATGGACACAGGCTCTCTTCTCAGAAAACTCGTCTTTTAATGGAAAATCAAACAGTAAAACGAATATACATAAAAAAATGGACGTGTCTCACCTATTAGGGAAATGCAGGGAGGCTTTGGGTCTTTAGGGAGAGGGTAACAGGGAGATCCCACCCAGAGGCCTAGTACTTAACTAGTTAAGCAGGAGGGTGTTGGAGTCAGAATTACCTGAATTTAGAATATTCAGTAAATATTAGTATTCACTAATAATAATAATAACTGGTGAGGACTAATATGTATACTAGTGCTAATATAATATTTGTGTGAACATTGACATCTTAAATAAATAGCTAATGCTATTTTCTTGAATCTTGAATCATGATACAAATATGAATATTTCTATATATGATTAATATTTTCAAATCATTTTAATGGCTTTACAGTATGTCATTATATAAGTTGACTACCATTTATGTTTTCATTTCTCTTTTTAAATATCTTCACCTTTTTATACTATTACCAAAAGGTGCTTTGATAAATTTGTTTTGCATATGGTATCAGTCTAATGTTGGAGGAAGAACATTTGAAAATTTGCTCCTCTATAAAAACAATACAAAATCTGGCAAAAATGTCACAATCAAATTTTTCAGAATTTTGGAAATGAACCAGTGGTTTTCAGCAACTCAGGGAGCAGTTGACGAAAAATCACTGCATACAGGTAAGAACAGTGAGCTTTGTGAACTTCCCCTAGTGTCATCTTCTGCTCTGCCTCTCACTAGTGGCCTCGAGAAATAACAGCCTACATTCCTGGCAATGAAGATAGCAGAACAGATCTAGTCTCTTAAAGTCTTATTCCCCAATAATTGCCATTATTGGACCAATTTGGAAGACATTATTTAAAAGGTTTATCTTGACTTGACCTGAAAAGTATTGTCTCACAGTACTGGAGGTTAAAAGTCCAAAACCAAGGTGTCAGCAGGCTTGGTTCCTTCTGAGGGTTGTGAGGGAAGGATCTACTTTGACCTCCAGCATCAGCTTGTGCACGGCTGTCTTCTCCCTGTGTATGTTCACATTGTCTTTCCTCTCTGCATGCCTGTGTCTATATAAGTACATCAGTCACGCTGGACTAGGGTCCACCCCAATGTCTCATTTTAACTAGATTGCCTTTGCCCCCAGAACTATGAAACAATAAATTGTGGCACAGCTCACTTTGTGGTAATTTGTTACAGAAGACTTAGCAAACTAATATGAAAATCATATGCTCTCTGATCACAACATACTGAAATTAGACATCAATAACACGGGACAGTTTGGGACAATCATATGTCCATGTAAAATAATAAAGACACTACTAAATAATGAACGAATCAAAGAAATCACAAGGGAATTTAGAAAATATTTTGCGAAGAATAAAAGTGAAAATACAATGTACCAAAACTTATTGGATACAGTGAAAACAGTACTCAGTGGCTAATTTATAGCTATAAATGCCTACATTATGAAAGAAAAAAAGGTTTCAGATCAATAATCTAACCTCCCACCTTAAGAAAAACAAGAGCAAACTAAACCCAAAATGTACAGAAGAAAAGACGTAATAAATGATTTTAAAGGAAACGAGTTAAACAGAGAATAGAAAAAGAATAAAATCAACAAAATCAAAAGTTCTATGAGAATATTAACAACACTGATAAAACTTTTAGATAGACTGAACAAGAAAAAAAAGAAAGCTCAAATGATTAAAATCAGGAGTGAAAGAAAGGACTTAACTACTGACTTCACAGAAATAAGAAGCATTATAAGGGAATGAAAAATTAGAAATCAACAGATTACATAAGTGGGTGAAACAAACAACTCCTACAAAGATGCAAGCTACCAAAATTTAGTGAAGTGTAAAATCCGAATAGACCTAGAACAAGTAAAGAGATTGTATTGGTAAGCAAAAAAAGTCCCATAAAGAAAAGTGTTCAACTAGATGGCTTTCATGATGAATGCTTCCAAACATTAAACATGAATTCCTACTATGTTACACAAATTCTTCCCAAAATGAAAGGATGATGGAACACTTCCAAAACATTTGGTGAGGCCAATATTACCCTGATACACAAACCAGACAAACCCATTAAAAGAAATGAAAACTACTGACCGATATCTCTTAGTAAATATAGATGCAAAAATCTTCAACAAAATTCTAGAAAACTGAATTTACAGGACATGAAAATATACAACATTACCAAGTGGAATTTATTGCAGGAATGCAAGCTTGATCTATCAGTTCAACTCGTAGATACATACACAGGAGAATTGAAAACGTATATTTACACACAAACTTCTACACAGATGTTCATAATAGCATTATTTACAATAGCCCCAAGGTGGAAACAACTCAAATGGTCATCAGCTGATGAACTGACAAATAAAATGTGGTTTATGCATACAATGAAATATTCAGTTATAAACAGAAATGAAATACTGGGGTACATGCTACAAAACAGGTGAAATCTAATAAATTCTTCATTAAAGTATGAGCTGCATTTGTCCATAGATTAGAGGTATGACTTTTGGATATTCTAATTTGAAAAAGAGCCCACTTCATTCTATCTAACCAGCAGTGGATGCTTGATGCTGGATATCACAGTTGAGCAAGGAGCTGTACATTTTTGGATATTTGGAAGTCTAAGTATGACTTCCAGGTTTTGATCCAGGGATAGGAGACTTTTATCCCAATTGCATAGGGAGGAGTTCTAACAACATTCCATCCATATTGCAAAACATGTAGTTGTAACCTTTTTGAATAAAGGAATAACTTAAGAAAAAGTATTGAAAACATCAAAATATCGTAAAACTGCGTACTATTTTTATGATATAATGGGGCAAACTACCTGAGCCTCTCCAGGTACATGTAATATTTTTTAGATGATTTTTTATTTTACTATTGCTAAAAGCCATACCAAATAGATGTTAATCTCCAGAACATTGATTCATTGCAAATAATTTTTTTTTTTTTTTTTTTGAGATGGCGTCTTGCTCTGTCCCCCAGGCTGGAGTGCAGCGGCATGATCTTGGCTCATTGCAAGCTCCGCCTCCCGGATTCACGCCCTTCTCTTGCCTCAGCCTCCTGAGTAGCTGGGACTACAGGTGCCCGCCACGACGCTGGGCTGATTTTTTGTATTTTTAGTAGAGACCGGGTTTCACCATGTTAGCCAGGATGGTCTCGATCTCCTGACCTCATGGTCCACCCCGCCCCCCCCTCAGCCTCCCAAAGTGCTGGGATTACAGGTGTGAGCCACCGTGCCCAGCCCCATTGCAAATAATTTTTGTCCTGTAGAGTTGTAATTTATTTTTGTCTGGTTGGAAACAACAAACCCAAGTATCCCTGAAAGATATTAATCATTAAAAATACTAACATTAAGATAGTATTCCAGCTTTCTTTCTGTCACTGTGTATAATGCTAGTCTCTTGCATTTTTTATTTCAAGAAGGTTTATTGTGTTGCTTGTTTCCTAATTACATAACTAAACAGAATTTTCACAACTGCTCATTACATATTAGTTTTAGGGACCTATGCTTCATCTTTTTGAAAATTATGCTTTGACATAACATGTTGAAAAGCTTTTTTTTAAAAGCGTTAAAACAATTAGTTCTTGTAATAGGTGGATTTGTGTGTGGGGGGCAGTGATAGAAACTCACATTCACTTAAATCCCTTTAAAAAGTGAGTGGGGAAATTATTGGATCACATGATCACAAGTGCAGAAACTGAAGGTCTGACTTGATCTAGTTCGTCATATGTTATCAGGAATCTTTTCTACCTCTCAATGAAACTTTAGTCTCTGTGGGTTTCTTTCCCAGGCAGGCTGCCTCCAAGTGGGAGCAAAGTACCTCAGTAGCTGTAGGCCTAAAATCTGCCAGGTTAGCAACATTAACAACAAAAAGATCTTATTTCCCATCAATTAAAATCTCCTGTCTGCTCTATGAAGCATCTACTGAAACTCTCACTGGCTGTTTTTGGGTCACCTTCCTACCCTAGAGCCACATGTGGGGTCAGCTGAGCTAATGTGTCAGCTGAGAGTGAAGAAGGTGGGCCTAGAGGATAAATATAGGGCAGTGACAAAAAGAAAAAAGCAAAGCCCCTGAGAAATGAGGATGTATACTTTATAATAATAAAAGATACAATCCATAATGCATATCTAATTGTTCAGTATGTGTCAAATAGCAACAATATATATGTTTAGATACAACATCATGGAAATACAAATTTAAAAATAAAAATAAAAACATAATAGGAAAAAAAAAACCTGACAAGTTGGTGAACTTTTGTATAATGCCATCAGCATAATGGGGACGTGTTTGCTTTAAAATCGGAAATAAGACATTCCTTTCATGTATTACATGCTCCAAGTTAATGTTTAACATAGAGGCACTAATAAAGCAACAAAAATTTTAAAATGTATGTCTTGCTGGGAAATAATTACATCAGGCTGTATAACAGAAACCAAGATTATTCTTTGTCCCTTGTTCAACAGTACTAGGACTAAGCAAAAGCAACTTAAGTGCATATTCCAGGAAATACTTGCTCCTGGAAGAAAGACTGTGAAACAGCTAGTTTACTTATCAAAACTAACAGCTGGCCCTTCCAGACTCTCTTCAGGGTCCTCTTCCTGCTAGATTCACCAATCCAAATAAACTCTGCCCACTCACAACACTTCTCTGCCTTGTAAGACCTGCCTCAAGATCACTCTGGCCAGGCCTTAGAATTCTATAAATATCTTTCCTTTACAGGCCACATACTGTATGATTCTATTTATGTAAATTTTATACAAGAGGCACATTTTTAGTGGGAAAATACCTTAATTTTTGAATAGGCCCAGTGGGGCTGGAGAGAAATGAAGAGTGACTGCTAACCGATACAGGGTGTTTTTTGGGGGTGATGAGAATGATCTGAAGTTGATTGTGGTGATGGTTACAACACTGCAGACATTAAAAGCCTTTGGATTGCACAATTGAAATGGGTGAATTGTATGGCATGTGAATTATACTTCAATAAAGCAGTTACATATCTAAGAAATGCAGTGTAAATAGATGGACTTGGAAGGTTGAGCAAAAGTCATGTACATTTGGAAAATTTCTTCTTGTCATTTGTTTAGTTAACTGCTGTTTTTGTTTGGCTGTTCCATTTTTGGAACTAGATTCCCTGTGATCATGATCCTAAGTACAGGAAAGAAATATGTGGCCCAGATGACAGCTGATTACATGTACTTACTTTACATCCTCCAGAGTCCATGATAAGGATAAAGACATACAGAAAAAAAAAACAGTGGCCACAACATTATACATTGTTGATTAAAAGTCTAATTGAGTCAGAATGTACAGTAACTGCATTTTTGGTGAACGATGAGTGAAGGTTCACATTATTATGTATTTTAAAATGGTGAATTCCATTTTATATGAATTATATCTCAAAAAATGTTAAAATTACCTAATTTTTGTGTTTAAATGCCTACAATTAAATCAGTGTTAAGTCATAAGCAATTTGAATAACATTCTAATGCTCATTCACATGATTAAAATTTTATCTACTATTATAGAAATTGAGTTTTTAAGTGACTACATTTAAATATTTTAATATTTTTGCTACATATTTTTTGTTCTTAAAGTCTCTATGTAATTTGTCCATTTCTTTTCTACTGTGTGCAGTTAATTTACTGTTTAGATGGTAAGAAAATTAAAATTTGGTTAATTTCTTTGGTCAATACTTTCCCCTAGTTATTTTCTGTCTACTATTCTTGAATAATTCCTCTCTTCTGCACGGACTTGCAGTGCCTCCTTTATTATAAACTGCATTCTTAGATATACTAGGTTTCATGTGAGGGCAATCTATAGTATTCCCAATTTTGTCAAGTAAGTGCCAATACCACATTGTTTAATTTATGTTTTAATATCTAGCAGGAAAATATTCCACTTGTTACATTTCTTTCCCATCTCTTAAAGAGGTATTTTCACCTGTTTATTCTTCAGTATAAATATTAGAATTATGTAGTCAAGTTACAAAGGAAAAAAAAAGAACAAATCTCACAGGTAGTTTGTTAAATTCATGTACTGGTCATGGAAGAGATGATAATTATATATTTTTTTCAAAAACTGCAGTTCTTAAATTATGTTTTTGTTAATACACATATAACTTCTAGATTAATCATAAAGAGTAATATGTTAATACACTGAGAACTTCCATATTAATTAATAATAAAAAAGCAGTGATCATTCTTATTTCTGACTTTAATAAGATTCCAGGCTTTTACTGTTTTTTTCGTAAATGGTGGAGTCTGAAATAAATTTTCTTTATTCTATGTTATTCTAGTTTACGATGAGATTTAGTCAGGAATAGGTGCTGCATATTGTCACATATTGTGATTTTTTCCCATTTGAGCTCTTAATATTAATTAATATTAATAATGTATTAATATTAAATAACACTCTTAAATCAACCTTAAATTGCTCGTATTAAACTTTATTTCATCATAGGACATTCTTTCAGTATATTGTTGAGAAAATGTTCCATCTATATTCTTGCATGAAATTGGGTTTTATTCTCCTTTTTAAATGTATTTTTTGTTCACTTTATGTATCAAAATTACATGCATTGGGATATAGTCACAATTTCTCTCATAATATTGCAACAAAATAATCCAGGCTTCTCCTATCTCACAAAGAACAAAGGAAATGTGAAATCATAAAAAGAGGCCCCATTTAAGGAAGGAATTAACTATTTATTAGAAGAAACTGTGAGGCAAATCTCTTAGCTCATAAAGTCTGTTCTGTCACAATATGAGACTCTCAAATGAGAATTAGCTGACACACATTTGGTAAAACGTGAACTATGTCAGTGTAATGTCAAAGTTACATTAATGTATTCATGATTTTTTCCAGTGTTAGTTTTTGCATCAGAGCCAGTGTATGTGTAGGACACGAGCGCAGTTGACTGAGCAAGTGATGAAGGAATACAATTCTGAATGCAGTGTCCAGAGTCCTTGCATCCCTCCTTAGGGCTCGTCATGTGTTCCATCCGGAAAGTGTGATTGCAGTCTTCCTCAATTTTTTTTATTTTTTTATTTTTTTGAGACAGAGTGTTCCTCTTATTGCCCAGGCTAACACGCAATGGCGCGATCTCAGCTCACTGCAACCTCTGCCTCCCAGGTTCCATCGATTCTCCTGCCTCAGCCTCCTGAGTAACTGGGATTACAGGCATGCATCACCATGCCCAGCCAATTTTTTTTTTTTTTTTTTTTTTTTGAGATGGATTCTTGCTCTGTCGCCCAGGCTGGAGTGCAGTGCCGCGATCTCAGCTCACTGCAAGCTCCGCCTCCTGGGTTCATGCCATTCTCCTGCCTCAGCCTCCCGAGTAGGTGGGACTACAGGCGCCCACCACCACGCCTGGCTAATTTTTTGTATTTTTAGTAGAGACAGGGTTTCACCGTGTTAGCCAGGATGGTCTTGACCTCCTGACCTCGTAATCGGCCCTCCTGGGCCTCCCAAAGTGCTGGGATTACAGGCGTGAGC
The DNA here is from genome assembly GCF_000001405.40 of Homo sapiens. NCBI lineage: Eukaryota > Metazoa > Chordata > Mammalia > Primates > Hominidae > Homo > Homo sapiens. The sequence goes on from NC_000013.11 coordinate 91,543,142, forward strand.
CACCGAGCCTGGCCACTAATTTTGTATTTTTAATAGAGACCTGGATTCTCCATGTTGGTCAGACTGGTCTCGAACTCCTGACCTCAGGTGATCCATGCGCCTTGGCCTCCCAAAGTTCTGGGATTACAGGTGTGAGCCACCGCTCCGGCCCCCAATTTTTGTATACTTTACCCTTGTCTCTGTTATTTATATAATCTTACATCAAGGTACTTTCACATCTTTAAAAAGATAAATTCCTATATTAAATGAAGTATTTATTTATTATGAATTTTACATGTCTTTTAAGCTAATTTTGTCTTTTATATGATTTATAATTGCTTTTGTTTTTTTCCCTTTTATTACCACTTGCATATTTTTCTCAGTCTCTTAATCTTACTACATGATTTTTCAAAGAGAGAGAGAGAGAGAATAAGGTTTATTTTTATGTTATAGTAAAAATACCTATACTCTGTCTACTTAAGTAGAATATGAGAAATCTCTTCTGTGCATTGATAAAGATGTTGAATCTATACAGTTATGTGCTAAAGTGACTTCAGTTAATCGTTCAGGTTGAAATGAAGGTCTGAAAATGTTTAAATTTGTTCATTCTCTGTTCCCTGCAGTAAGTGAAGATTATGTCTCTTTTTGTTGTTGTTGAATTAATTGTAAAGAGATAGAGACTCTTGGCAAATTATTTTACTATAGAGCCTATATTTTCCTTATCAAAAGCAACCCTCCATGTTGTTATGGATATCAAAGTTTCTTTTGAAATATGTATTAGGTAATTGTGCTAAATTATAAAATATAGCTAACATGGAAGAAAATGAGAGTTCATAATTTTTATTGTTCATCACTTAATATAAACTTGCTGTATATTTGAAATTTTCCTGCCTGAATCCCCATTTATTTGTTCTCAATTATTATCACAGCCTCAGTTATTTCTAGTACCTGAAATATCAGTCTGATGCATTGCCTGTTCTTTACAGTGGTTAAAAAAAAAAGACATTTCTGGTGAAATGTAAATAAGTTGGTATAATTGGCTTGAATGTATTTTGACTATTTGAAAAATCTACTTATAAAATCATTGGCTAATTGACTTAGGAATTTTGTTTTTTGTTAAGGTTGGTCATTTTATGTATTTAATATTTTAAATTTAGAGTTTTAATTTCTTCTTAGACACAATATTTTTAAAGATTTTTAAAAACTTTCTAACTATTCTAATTTTCTTGAAAATACTACAGTTATTGTCTAGTTATATTGTATAGTGGTTAGAGATTGTGGGCAGTTTGACTTTTGCTTTGCTGCGTGTCTGTGTTTGTGTACTGGTCTTTGTAGTGTCTAGCATATGATACAATTTTATAAATGTTTCATGGACATTAATATTATAAATGTTCTAAGGTACACATCAACATACAGTCATTAAATATGTTTCACTAAATTGTTGTTCAAAAAGTTGTATTCATATTTCTTCATCTGAAATTCTTCTTTTTTACTTCAGCTATTGTATCTAAAGAGTTATATCTTTCATTTTCTCCCTGTGCTTTGACATTTTTGCATGATGTATTTGGATGCTTTCTTTTCCAACACTGTTCTAGTTATCTGTTACTGCATAGTAAATTACCCTAAAACTTAGCAGCTAAAAACAAGAAGTTTTATTATCTCGCAATTTCTGACAGCCAGGAATATGGGAATGCTTCACTGGCTGTTTCTGGTTCTGGTATCTCACAAGCTTGAGTCAAGACGTGGGCCTGGATTGCAGTCTTGGCTGGAGCTGGAGGGTCTGCTTCCAGGAAGGCTCACTCATGTGGTTGTTGACTGGCAAACTCAGTTCCTCACTGTCTCAACAGCCAACACAGGAGGCCTCAATTCCTTTCCCCAGGGGTCTAACAATAGGGCTATTCACGACATGGTTGTTGGCTTTTTCTACAGTGAGCAAGGAGGAAATATTTGTGCCTTTTGTGAACTAGTCTCCAAAATTGCACACCATCACTTCTGCTTTCATCTATTTATTAGAAGTGAGTCACTAAGTCCAGCCATCATTCAATGGCAGAGGATTAGTCTCTACCTTTGAAGGGAGGATTATTTTAAAAAATTGTGGACATATTTAAAAACTGCCATAAGCAAAGGCTCATGTCTGTAAATCTTTATTATAGATTTAACTTTATCATTTTAAAATTCGTTATTGAGAAATGAACCTCTAAATTCAATGTAATGCTTTTGGATGTGGACTGTGAACTCCCTGATAATTTTTTTGTTTCATTTAACTAATACATATTTACCCATCTTTTGGTTTTAAGTTCATATCTTAAACACATCATTAAAATTCAATCTTTGGGTTACATTCAAGTTTTTGTAGGAGGAATTAAATTTATTTACTCTGATTTTCATAAATTTTTTTCATTACTATTATAAAAAATTATTGTGGTGAGAACACTTAATACTGTATCTACCCTTTTATCATATTTTAAGGTGCACAATACATTGTTACTGACTGTAGGTACAGTGATGTACAGTAGATCTCTCAAGCTTCTTAATCTTGCTTGACTAAAATTTTTATGCCTCTTGAATAGTAACTTCCCATTTCCTCCTCCACCTAGCCCCTAGCAGCCACCATTCCACTGTAATCCCATAAATTTTATTATTTTAGATACTTCATATAAGTAGAATTGAATGATATTTGTCTTGCTGTTATTGCTATAATGTGTGTAAGAGTGCTGTAAAATAATATGCTATCATGTTTTCAGATATATTTTTCCTATATGTTCAATGACTATTATTTAGATAATATACTTGGTTAGTATATTTCAATGTCCTTGTATTTAGAATAATTTAATATTAACTTGGTGGCTTGTTTTTGGATAATATCACTGTGGATTATCATCTCCTGAAACCCTTACACATAGCACAGATTTATATAATGTAAGAGGTCATGTTAAAATGTCTATGACAATGAAATAATAAGTTTTCAATGACCAATGTGAGCATTGTTCTTGTACATCATTTAGGATAATATCATGATCTCTGTAAAGTGAAAATTAATATATTCTATTCTGCCTTTCTGGCTACCTATCTATAGTAGAAGAAAATAGGAAAACAGCTGCTGCATATTTACTTTTGAAAACTGTAAATTAACATTACAACATAAATATCATGTAAAGTGAAATAAACACAGAAATTTCAATGTCCTCAAGTGACTCTTAAGTCATGTTTATGTCTAGGTGAGTAAACAAAACTGGATTAAAATTAACATTAGATATGCAAAAAAGGCCATTGCAAATTATAAGGCAGACCTTAAATCAATTTCTCTTAGGAAATATAGTGATTTTGCCTTCAGGAATTTTGATAAGCCAAACAATTCCAAACAATTATACTGCCTTTAGCCATGTGATTTTTAATCAATTTTTTAAAATTTTTTCTTCTCAATGTCAGTGTCTTTTTCATGAATAGGTCTGTGACATTTAAAGATAAAGTTCTTTGATATGTATGTCATGATGTTTGTGTTTTAGAAATATTTTTGTTTCCCTTCAATTAAAAAAAGTCAGTTTCTCTGGAGCAATTGGAAAAATGACCAGCAAAATGAAGCTTGAACAAGTGCAAGAAGATCAAGAAGGATTCTTTTAAGCGATATCGAGGATTTTAAACTTTGACATAAATGTAGTTGAAAATCATTGAAAGAAGCTTATTAAGTGATCACTTTGCCTTTAAAAAAGATCACCTTGCTTAGAATTAAGAATGAATTGAAGTGGATACAGTGGTTAGGTAGACCAATTTTCAGACTGTTTTTCTAGTCGTAGCAGCAGTAATCTTCCTTGGAATAAGGTAAGAATGGTGAGAAGGGAAAGAAGAAGAAAAATTTTAGCAATGAGAAGGTAGATGGATAAGTTCTGGATGTGTGGAGTGACAGAAAAGGAAGTGAAAGAATGAATCATAGGTTCTACATTGAGCAACTGGGTGAACACTGGTTTCTTCTTAGAAAGTAAACACTGGAGGAGGAGTAATTACATTTGGAAGAGAAGTAGAGATGCTGAATTGAGTACTGGAAAAAATTAGATACATCTTGTGACATATCCAACTAGAGATGTTCAGAAGATATTTAGCAATATTGGTCTGGAACTCAGGCTGCTGGCCTAAATGGAGACAGTGTATTACTGTCTAAGAGAAAACGAGACACAAATTGCTAATACCAGAAACAAAAAGGGGACATAATTGCAGATTCCATGGACATTTAAAGGATAATAAAGGAATACTACGAGCAATTCTATGCCCATAAATTTAATAACCTAGATGAAATGGACCAATTCCTTGAAAGACACATGATATTTATATGAAAAGAAGTAGACAACCTGAATATGCCTATATCTGTTTAAAAAATTGAATCAATTAATAGTCTTCCAAAACAGAAAGCACCAGGCCCAGATAAGTACACTAGTGAATTTTACCAAACATTTGAGGAAAATATACCAATTCTCTACAACATCTTTCAGAGGATAGAACAAGAGGAAATACTTCTTCATTCTATGAGGCTAGCTAGCATCACTCTAATACCAAAAACACAAATTACAAGAAAACTACAGACCAATATTTATTGTGAACATAGTTGCAAATCCTCAACAAAATATCAAATTGAATCCAACAATATATAAAAAGATATATACTCTAACCAAGTGGGATTTATCTCAGGTATGCACCGTTGGTTGAACATTTGAAAATCAATTAATGATTTCAATATGCTAAAAAACAAAAATCATATTGTCATCTCAATAGATGCAGAAAATGCATCTGACAAAATCCAACATCAATTCATGATTAAAACTCGAAATAAATTAGGAATAGAGAGGAATTTCCTCAACTTGATAAAGAATATCTCTAAAAAACCTACAGCTAACATCATACTTAATGAAGAGAAACTAGAAGCTTTCCTAGCAAGATCAGGAGCAAAGCAATTATTTTCTCTCTCACCTCTCCTTTTCAACATTGTCCTGGGAGTCATAGCTAAGGCAATAATACAATAAAAGGAAAGAAAAGACATATAGCTTGGGAAGAAATACCACTGTTTTTGTTTGCAAGTGATATGATCATCTATGTAGGAAATCCAAAAGAATCAACAAACACAAAACACCTGGAACTAATAATCAATTATGGCAAGGATGTAGGACGCAAGGTTAACATACAAAACTTAATTGCTTTCATATATGTCAGCCATGAACAAATGGGATTTAAAATGAAAAGCACAATACCATTTAAATCAGCACCAAAAGTGAAATACTTAGATAAAAATCTAACAAAATATGTACAGCTCTATATAAGAAAAACTATAAAACTCTGATGAAATAAATCAAAGAACTAAATTAATGGAGAGATACTCCATGTTCATGGATAGGAATACTCAATATTGTCAAAATGTCAGTTCTTCTAATTCAGCCTGTAGATTCAATGCAATCTCAGTAAAAATCTTATGAAGTTATTTTGTAAACATCAACCAATTCTAAAGTTTACATGGAGAGGCAGAAGATCCAGAATAGTCAACACAATATTGAAGGAGAAGAACGAAGTTGGAGGACTGACACTACCTGACCTCAAGACTTTCTATAAAGCCACAATAAGGCAGTGTGATGTTGTAAAAGAACAGACAAATGGATCAATGGAATAGAATGGGGACCCCAGAAATAGACCCACATAAACATTGTCAACTGATCTTTGGTGAATGAGCAAAGACAATACAAAGGAGCAAAGATAGTCTTTTCAACAAATGGTACTAGAACAACTGGACATCCACATGTGGAAAAATGAGTCTAGAAACAGATCTTACATCCTTCACAAAAATCAACTCAAAGTGGATCATAGACGTAAGTGCAAAATGCAAAAACTGGCTGGGTGCAGTGACTCATGCCTATAATCCCAGCACTTTGGGAGGCCAAGGTGGTCGGATCACTAGGTCAAGAGTTCGAGACCAGCCTGGCCAATATGGTGAAATGCTGTCTCTACTAAAAATAGAAAAATTGGCTGGGTATGGTGGCAGGCTCCTGTAATCCCAACTACTCGTGAGGCTGAGGCAGGAGAATCTCTTGAACCCAGGAGGTGGAGATTGCAGTGAGCCAAAATCATGCCATTGTATTCCAGCCTGGGCAACAAGAGCAAGATTCCATTAAAAAAAAAAAGGCAAAAACTATGAAACTCATAGTACATAATACAGGAGAAGATCTAGATAACTATGGGTGTGGTTATGACTTTTTAGATGGTACACCAAAGGCACAATATATGAAAAACATAACTGATAACCTAGACTTCACTACAATTTAAAAGCCCTTCTCTGAAAAAGATGATGTCAAGAGAATGAGAAAACAAGCCTCAGACTGGGAGAAAATATTTGAATATTTGCAAAAGACACATCTGATAAAGGACTGTTATCCAAAATATACAAAGAACTCTTGAGAATCTACAATAAGAACACAACAAACCTGATTAAAAGTGGGCCAAAGACCTTACCAGAGACTTCAACAAAGAAGGCATACAGATGACAAATAAACATGTGAAAAGTTGCTCAACATCATATGTCATGAGGGAAATAAAAATTAAAACAGAAGTGAGATACTACTACAGACATATTAGAATAAACAGAATCCAGAACACTGACCCACACTAAATGCTGGTGAGGGTGTGGACCAACAGCTCTCATTAATTGCTGGTGGGAATGCAAAATAGTGCAGCTACTCTGGAAGACAGTTTGTCAATTTCTTACAAAACTAAGCATACTCTTACACTATCCAGCAGTCATACTCCCTGCTTTTACCCAATTTAGTTGAAAACTTATGTATGTACAAAAACCTGCACATGGATGTTTATAGCAGATTTATTTACAATTGCCAAAACTCCAGAGCAACCAAGTTGTTCCTCAGTGGGTGAAATGTGGTACATGTAGATAATGGAATATTATTCAGTGCTAAAAATAAACTATCAAATGGTGAAAAGACATGGAGGAAACTTCAATGTGTTTTACTACATGAAAAAAGCCAATCTGAAAATGGCTACATACAGCCCAATTCCAACTGTATGACATTCTGGAAAGGGCCAAAGTGTATAGACAGCAAAAAGATGAGGGGTTGCAGGGATTTTGGTGGAGTGGGGTGAAGGATTAATAGGTAGACCATGGAGCAATTTTAGGGCACTGGAAAACTCTGTATGATACTATAATGATGAATACATGTCACTAAGAGTGAACCCCAATGTAACCTATGTACTTTGGGTAATTATGATGTGTCAGTATAGGTTCACCAGTTGTAACAAATGTATCATTCTCATGGGAGCTATTGATAATGTACAGGAAATATATGTGTGGGGGCAGGGAGTGCATATGAGAATTTGTAATTTTTGCTAAATTTTGCTGTGAACCTAAAACTTCTCTGAATATATTGGTACAAGAGTTAAGGATACATTTACTCATTAATTGTTGATGTTCTTGTGGATAGGAAGTAGAGTGAAAATGATATAGTGTGAATGGGCACATCAGAATTGTAGTTCATTAAGAAGTAGCGTGGCCTTGAATAAAATTTTTTGATTTTTCTGAGATCTAGTGATAAGGTTTGGCTATGTCCTCACCCAAATCTCACCTTGAATTGTAATAATCCCACATGTCAAGGGTGGGGCCAGAGGGAGATAATTGACTCATGGGGGCAGTTTCCCCCATACTGTTCTTGTGGTGAATAAGTCTCAGAAGATCTTATAGTTTTATAAATGGGAGTTCCCCTGCACAAGCACTCTTACCTTCCACCATGTAAGACGTGACTTTGCTCCTCATTCATCTTCAGCCATAATTGTGAGGCCTTCCCAGCCATGTGGAATTGTGAGTCAACTAAACCTCTTTATAAATTACCCAGTCTTGAGTGTGTCTTTATTAGCAGTGTGAGAACTGACTAATACATCTAGTTTTCTCATTCACAAAATGGAGCTTATAATAACTACATCCTGGGTTATTGTGAGGACTGAATGAAGTAACTGAACCAGAGCATTTCATGTGGTGCTTGGTACATGATATGTCATCAGAAAACAGTGATTCTTGGTGGGTGAGAATCAGCTATAAAATAAGTAGCTATAAATTCAAGTGCCTTTGGCTATGGCTCAGTGAATAAAGAGTAAATCTTTAAAAAATCAGAGTGAAATGGAAAATTGCTCAGAGATGAAAATTATTGTCATTATATTTATTGCTCAGTCATCCATTTTATTTTATCTGAACTATAAAAGAGTAAGGCAGGCAATGTGCCAATCTCTGTTTACTGTTTTCCCAAGTAAGGTAAAGAAGACAGGGCAAAGTTTCATGGAGCTTCCATAAAATAGAGTTGACAAGAGTTAAACAGCATATGTCATCAAAGTGACAATATATGTGCAAATACTTGGAATAGCGAATTCCATGGTATGTCAGGGATTGATGTGATAATTGAGTCGAAAATATGTTAATTTTGGGAATAGAGATTAAAGAAAAATGTATTAAAAATGTATTGTACAATGGGGATAGCAAATAATAGCCCTGAGAATTCTAGATTTATATACTGCGGAGTCAGAGATGACCTTTGTTTCTTTTCTGTTTGTTCTGCAGAGACATCGAAAAAGTAGAACTTTTGAATTTGAATGAATTGATTTAATGAGAATGTATTTGGTTCTTAACACTAGGAGAGAAAGAGCAACATTATTCATGAAAAATTATGGTCAGGATGTGGTGTTTCTTTGGGGTAACATATAGATTTTTGGTAGCAAAGCTGTTTATATTGAGGCAGGCTATTGAAATAGTTTAAATTTTAATACTGGTTAATATATAGTAAGTACATATTTTACATACTGGTAAGTGATTTAGACTAATACATGAAGCCTAAAGGATCAAGACAAATATTAACAGAAAGTAATATTGGATGTGAAGTGAATTTCAGAATCTAATTTTATTTTACTAAAAAAGTAAACTGGATTTTTATTCTATTATAATCATTGTGAACATTATGTACTGTATTTCCTTGCTATTACTTTTAATGATCAATATTCTCATATTAGAGATGAAATGAGTCTGAAGAAGGTTGTTAATTGCCCCAGTGGTATGGCTGAGGTCTTATTCTATGCTCTTGATTCCTTGTTGTTTTTTTCCACCTAAATTATCTTATTTGAAAAGCTTAGGAGTTTATGGCATAGTTGTGCAGAAGATGGACACAGCTCCGTGAATAAGCAGTATTTTATTGTTATATCTAACGTGTAAGGAATTGCCGAGACCAGCTCGATCTGGGAGACTCTAACCCAGTGGCGCTAGAGGAATTAAAGACACACACACAGAAATATAGAGGTATGAAGTGGGAAATCAGGGGTCTCACAGCCTTCAGAGCTGAGAGCCCTGAACAGAGATTTATCCATATATTTATTAACAGCAAACCAGTCATTAGCATTGTTTCTATAGATATTAAATTAATTAAAAGTATCCCTTATGTGAAACGAAGGGATGGGCCGAATTAAAGGAATAGGTTGGGCTGGTTAACTGCAGCAGAAGCATGTCCTTAAGGCACAGATCGCTCATGCTATTGTTTGTGGCTTAAGAATGCCTTTAAGGGGTTTTCCACCCTGGGCAGACCAGGTGTTCCTTGCCCTCATTCCCTTAAACCCACAAGCTTCCAGCTTGGTCGTTAGGGCCATTATGAACATGTTACAGTGCTGCAGAGATTTTATTTATGGCCAGTTTTGGGACCAGTTTATGGCCAGATTTTGGGGGGCCTGCTCCCAACAGGAATGTTGTATTTTATGGATTCTAATACACACATTTTCTGGAAAATATTTTACCATCTCCAAAACCAGAATACATCTTAAAGTTGAGGCATGGTATTAAATTTAATGGTGCATCATGGTTCAACTGGCAGTATTTTTGTTTTTAAATATAACATAAAATAATAGTGAATATTACAGTTAATTGTGTCTTTGATTTGATGAAATATGGTACCTGCTGTGTGTGTCTTGAAGAGTAAATATAAATGATTTGGACAAAATGTATGAGGGGTATGTGGTAATCAGGGTCAGGCTGGGTAAATGAGTTTGAAGTAGACAATATTTTTCCTGAAATATTTTCTTTCACTCTCACAAGGTTGTGATGCAAATTGAAACTCTAGTTTAATTCAGCCACCATTACCTGTCTTTCTCATTTCTCAGAAGAGAATGGAGACCGGTTTATGCTTGGATTTTTTGGAAGGCAGAAATAGCATAACTAACATGTAAACTCCTTGCAGGCAGGAAGAATATATTAAATTTATACTCCTTCTCCTTTATTTTTTTAAAACACAGTTAGAGCTCAATAAATGCCTGTAGAAATGAACCTAGTGCAGTGTGCATTTAGGAATAAAAATGAGTTTTCTAAATGAGTTTTCTGTCACCCAGTTCAATCTGTATATGAGGTAAAATGTTCCCAGAATTTCTGGAAGTTTTCTGCTACGGCATTAGTTTGTCTATGAAACTGATGGATTAATTTTTGCATTCTGTATTTGTAAGGCATCGTTTTATATGAGACTTGCAAATCACTTTACAAGTTCCAAAGTGAAATAAATATTTTTACATATTCTTTCATTAAGCAAAGTTATGTATTTCTAATGTCACTGTTTAGCAATAATTACTTACTCTCATTAAAAGAAAAACAATTCTCTGGAAACTGCAAAAGGAATAAAAAGCTCTCTTAATAATGTGCAGCTGAGATCAGTTTGATTTTTAAGAAGAGTGAAATTAAGGAGTATATATTTAATATAGCCCAAAAGATTAGCAATGAATGAAAGATGCAATAGTCAAGACCAGTGATGTTATTTATCGTTATAGGAGTTTTTGTTTTGAAACTTTATTTAAATGAAGTTTGGAACATTGGATATCTTAAATATTTATTAAATTTCCCTCTACATTCAAATTTAATACAATCCATTTCCCTTTGTCCTATCATTCCCTTTTACCACCACTTTTTATCTAGTAACTACATATCTAACCAAAATAAAACTGGACCTTCTAGTTTGCATTCTAGAGCTTGACAATGATTTTAAAAAGACAAAAGCATTTAAACTTTTTCTACACCAAGTTTGTTTACCTGTCAGGCTAGGAAACATGCACATAAAGGTGAATATACACATAGACACACACACACCCCCACACAGAGATACAACAGAGACACATACACAGACTCACAGACACAGAGACTCAACACATGCACGTGGACACATACATGTATACACACAGGCACATATATGTACACAGACACAGACTCACAGACACACACATACAGAGACACAGACACAGCACCACAGACACACACACCAGTGGAGAAATTCACTAAATAATTTGCTGAAGGGGCAAAGTTTCAGTTTTAAGTGGTAAAAAAGCAGTTTGTGATGGATCTGCTAATTAAAGATTGAAAGTTTACTCCCTAAGGTAGGACAAACGAATCCACAGATCTGTACATAATTGGTTAAAATAAATCCTTTTCAAAACAAAAGCTATTGTTCTTTCATCAAGAAAGAGTCTTCTTAGGTCCAATGGGAGTCTGGTATATTAGAGTCAGTGCAAGTGCTGGGTCCTTCTGTAACTTCAGCTTGTTAGACTCTGTCGTGGTGAAGCATAGTACTCCGTTTTCATGTAACCTCTCCGTGGTGTTGAATTTCAAACAAACCCACATCTAATTTTAAAAGGCCTTGAAAAATAAGTTATTACAGAAATCTCTGAGGTGGCAGAGAGAGACATAACACACAGGCGGAAGCCCTAACAATCCTCTTCACTTATCTTCTCTCTTAGCCCATCTCCCACTTTTATGTCTTCAAACAAGAAAAGAATAAACAAGCAACAAAGCCTTAGCCCACACAGGCTTCCCTTGCATTGAGGGAAAAATGACTGAAGAACAGTATCTTCCTTTCTTTTAGTGGCTTCTTGCCTTTTAATTTTTTTCTAATCAAACTTTTAATTTTGAGATAATTATAGATTCACATGTAGTTATAAGAAATAATACAGATTCCATATGCCCTTCACCCAGTTCCCCCCAGTGGTAACATTTTACCAACTAGAATACAGTATCACCACCAGGATATTGATTGATACAGCCAAGTGTAGGAAAACGGCCTGGCCCGTGGAAAGAGGGACACTATACGTATGCAAAAACATGATAGCCGATGTTTGACTCCTGCATGCCAAGGTGATCACAGCAAAGTCAAGAACCAATGCCTGTAGTATAAATTACTCCTCAAAAAGATGCTTATCTAACTTCCCCGGTGGTAACAAATTTTGTAAGAGCATCTGGTACATGACTAACTGCACGTGTTTTACCAGAAAAGCTCACTATATAGAAGGATGTTTTCTGGGGGCGAGTACAGAGATCCACCATTTCTTGGCCACCAGAGACTTGCTTCTCTTATTAAGTTCCTATTAAATGTTTATTTCTGAGAAACTAGATTTGTCAACCTCTTTCTTTGGCCTCTTAGCTCCCTTGGCCTTTGCGGGTAGGTTTGCATAGACCAGCTGTATTAGTCTGTACTCATGTTGCTAAAGATATACCCAAGACTGGGTAATTTGTAAAGAAAAAGAGGTTAAATGGACTCATAGTTCCATGTGGCTGGGGAGGCCTCACAATCATGACAAAAGGCAAAGGAGGAGCAAAGTCACATCTTACCTTGCAGCAGGCAAAAGAGAATGAGAACCAAATGAAAGGGGTCTCCCCTTATAAAACCATCAAATCTCCTGAAAGTTATTCACTACCATGAGACCAGTATGGGGGAAACCGCCCCCGTGATTCAATTATCTTCCATTAGGTCCCTCCCACAACACATGGGAATCATGGGAGCTACAATTCAAGATGAGATTTGGGTGGGGACACAGCCAAACCATATCACCAGCTCATTGGAACACCAAGGTGTAGAATGTTTCCATCACCATGAGGATCCCTGGTGTTGCCCTTTCATAGCCATACCCCTATCCCTTCCACCACTTCTGACCCCTGGCAACCACTACTTTGTTCTCCATTTCAATTATTTTCTCATTTCAAGAACACTATATAACTGGAATCATACAGTAAGTGACCATTTGAGAGTGGCTTTAAAAAAAAACTCAGCATAATTCCCTTGAGATTCATCTAAGTGATCATATATATTTAGTTTATTCATTTCTATTGTTGAGTACCATAGTTTTTTTGGGTGCCATTCAGTGGTTAAAGATCATCTGGATTGTTTCCAGTTTTTGTATTGGAACTACCATTTGATCCAGCAATCCCACTACTGGGTATCTACTCAGAGGAAAAGAAGTCATTATATGAAAATATACTTGCACACCCATGTTTATAGCAGCACAGTTTGCAATTGCAAAAATATGGAACCAGCCCAAATGCCCATCAATCAATGAGTGGATAAAGAAATTGCAGTATGTGTATATATATATATATAAAATGTGTGTGTGTGTGTATATATATATATATACACACACACAGACACCCACACACACATATACACACACATATATACACACCATGGAATACTATTCAGCCATAAAAAGGAACAAAATGATGGCATTCACAGCAACCTGTATAGAACTGGAGACATTATTCTAACTGAAGTAACTCAGGAGTAAAAAACCAAACGTTGTATGTTCTCACTCATAAGTGGGAGCTAAGCTATGAGGATGCAAAGGCATAAGAATGATACAGTGGATTTTGGGGACTCAGGGGAAAGGGTGTGAGGGGGGTGAGAGATAAAAAACCAAAAATTGGGTTCAGTATATACTGCTCGGGTGATGGGTGCACCACAATCTCACAAATTGCCACTAAAGAACTTACTCATGTAACCAAACACCACCTGTTCCCCCCAAAACCTGTGGAAATAAAAAATAACAACAACAAAAAAGAAAGCTGCTATGATCGTTTGTTTACAGGTTTTTGGGTGGACGTAGTTTTTATTAACCTAGGCTAAATACCCAAGAGGAGAGAGTTGCTGGGTCTTATGGTAATTATGTGTTTGGTTGTAAAAGAAACTACCAAATTATTTTCCATAGTGGCTGCACCATTTACCTTCTTGCCAGCTATGTATGAGCGATTCCGTTTCTCTGCATCCTCGCCATCATTTCCTGCTGCTCCAATTTTTCACTTTGGCTGTTCTGAGAGTTGTGTACTGATATTGCATTGTGCCTTTACTTTGCATTTCCCTTATGGCTAATGAGGTTGAACATCTTTTCATGTGCTTATTTGCCTGCCTTTTAAATATAAACAATTTATCTCTTCTCTTTACTTTCCCTTTCATTGTTTACCTTGATTAGCAGATCTACTATTCAGCCCCCATCTATTTTGTACCTGCCTCTAAGCTTCATGAAAGGGCCTTGCTGTTATGTCTGGTGAGATGTTGCTGACCCGGAGAGGGCTGATGTCCAGCCCCAGGGCTCCATCTTCTGTTGGTCTCAGTTGTTCAGGTGACAGAGCAGAGTTAGATTCTAGGCAGAGTACAGAATTTCCTTGACTCCAATTCTCTACTGAATACAGTATGTAAGATTTTTAAAAGCACTATTCATTCCCAGTATGTCACAGAATCCTTTCATTCAAACAGATTCCTCATATTCTCTCCAAAACTGCTTGAACAAGTACGTGGTTATTAGTCGTCAGCCCAGTAATAAATACATTGCAAGAAAAAGATGTTCTCAGATGGCAAACATAATGTGCAAAGAGGCATTTCTGCCTTCAAATAAATACCTTTTACATTAGTCCCAGAGCTTTAGCCGTTTAAAGCACAGGTTCTACAGCTTCTGATTGGCTTATGAATTCTGTTGTTGACTTAAAGTCCCCAAGGACTACCAGAAAAACGTGGGATTGAGACAAGCTAAGTTTATTAAGCCTTTTGCAATAAGGAAAAACTCTGTTTTGAGAGAGTCTTAGCAAAAGCTCAAAAGATAAAAGTCAGGGGGAGCATATTTTTTAAGTTTTAGGCCATGAACTGGGTGGTTTTAAGGTGGAGCTTACAGAATAGGAAAGGAATTGGAATTGACAGTTTCTACTGAAGCTGTAACTTTGGAATTGGTTGTTGCTGAGAAGTGAGGCTGTCAAAACAATTCTTGGTGAGTAAGTTGTTACTCTTGGTAAGTACCATGTGTATTTGCTCACAGTCTTATCATCTGGGAGCAGGTAATTCCTGGAGCATACAACTAGCTTATTTTACTTGGTCTCGGTATTAGTTAACTTAAAGATAGGAAGTGACATTTTATCCTAGTACTGTTATCACCGGGAAAGGGAAGCATATTGTTTTAGTTACACTTCTTGCCTCTTAGTTTCAATCTACCCATCATTTTGTGGCTTATAATATTGGATGTGGACCATGTAAATATTTGTCACTTACCAGCAGGCATGATGCTAAGCACTGTTAGTATAAGGTGCTGGAGGGACATTGCAGGAAGAAGGGACTTTGTTCTGGATCCAGTGTGATCCTCTGTGCTTGCTCCTGTAGCACTTGGTTAGTATGTGGGACATCCAGTGACACTCATCCCTGGCACGTTTGAGTGGCAATACCATTGCAAGTAGCTTCCTAAAGAGTTTCTTTGGCAATGCTTGAGGACAATTTTCTAGAGATACGTTGAGACTGTTGCCGTCCTCAGTGTGTTCTGCTTTGTCCCCCAAAAGGTGGTTTTCTTCTCTTGTGCTAGACTTTTTCATCATCCATGAAGGTCATGGCTGCGCCCTCTCCAGTGAGGTCTGGATCTCAGTCATGAGGGGGTTGGACTTCCACGTTTGTTCCTTTATTGAGTGCTTTGCCTTAGCCCTATATATTCCTCCTGTGTCCACTATTGGTATATTTTTAGAGTTAGTTTTTACCTTTTCATATTAATAGTTAATTTCTTGTTCATAATTCTTTATGGTGAACACTTACTGGTCAAATTACTATGAGGGTTTTTGTCTTCTGATTGGATCCTCACTGATACAGAATTACTACTAGATTGGTCTCAGGAGCCATATTTAAAAAGATTGGAATTTGGGATTGGTTTGGTCATGCTCTAGGATTTGAACACAGTGTTGAGCTCTTTGTGTATGGAAACTGGGATGCCAGAAATCTACTGCATGCAGAATCAGCCTAACACCTATGGTTGACTATGATGAAAGCCAACTGAAGCAGGTGCGTAGCAAACTGACAGTGCTATTGCATTGAACATTATAGCAGCAATGATGGCTACAAGATGTATGATTTGGAACAATTTCTCCTAGAGCACACTGGAGTGCTTACTGAATGAAAACAATGAGCTCAGCGCTTGAACTCTCAGCTAAAGCCACAGACTGAGAACCAGGGAGCTTCTATGATGGCCATAAGTAATAGTTACTCTAGCTAGAGGGCTGATACTGCTAAAACTAAAAACAAAATTAAATTGCTTTTGGTTTTTGAATTTTATTGCCAATTAATTCACTTCTTGCCAAATTTTTGTTTGAAAGTTAGGTTACTAATTGGGAAAGAATAGAATCCTGAATGAACTTGGAATGTGTACATATACTTGGACCCACATGAAACTGGCTGTATTGAACCCCTAAGTCATTCTGAGCCTTCCTTACCACTTGAACAAAACTGCCTCCTCCTGTGTCTGAGGTGACTACCCCATCTTTGCTTGAAAATTTTGTGATAACCTCACCAGGAGCAGGGGCTTTGAAAATGGATGCTCATTCTTCTCATGAGTTAAGACAGGCAGTTCAGGTTGTTCCTAGACCCATTGCAAGGGGGGAAATTTCAGCATACTCCAGGGTAACAGGTACAGACTATAACCCAGGGGTAGATAGTTTACATACAAAAATAATGTGCAAGACTTTGCTATTACATATATTCTGAAATCTGGGGAACATTGTAAGAATAGATCTGAAGGGTACTAGACTAAAGAGGCCAGAATGTAACAATCAGTAAGGCTGAATTCATTGATACGACTGTACTTATTAGAGAGTCCAGATATAGGATGTTATCTTGTGCAACTTGAGTTGACTCCAATAGCTTACTTGGTTGGTTTCCTGAAACTTATACTCAGTGGTGTTCTGTGTTAAATGAGTTTGAGATGCCAGAGCTTCCCTGGCATGAATTGGAGAAGGAATAGAGATATGGGAGTGGATTTGTCAAGTGATACCTACATGTGTATCTCCTACAAGGTTCTGTGAGATGACCTAGAAGATACTCTACTAAGGCATTGGGAAATACATTGGTGAGGATAGTACCTTAGTCTTTGAAATGATGGGTCTGGATCTCAGATCTTTTGTCCTCCAGACTATAGGGGATATCACCATTGATATGTGTTTGCTGATTTCAGCTGTGATAATGGAAATTCCAGGGTAGTCAAAGCCAAGTGACAGTTATTAACCACCAAAGACAAAGTGGACTCACTGTGTAGGCAGAGACATGCCAGTAATCACAATGCCTTAGCTTAAAGGGATTTGGGGCAGTTGCTAATTGGTCACAGTGTCCATGAGAACAAATAGATAGGTAGCCCACTGGAGTATAGCTTCATTTGTCAAACCAGTGATCCCAGATGGGTCACCTACTTGTACACAAAGGTCTTGCAGCACCCTCGTTGTAAACATTCCCACAAAGAAGAATTTTCCTAGACTAGCCAGATTTTCTCCCAGCAGCCAACCCTATCACACATGTATTAATGTGATTTTTTTTAGGAAAAAAAATTAATGTTATAATTAAAAAAAAAATCTGAAGAACCAGTAGCCAAAAGCAGCTTGAGTCACCACAGTGGAGAGTTCTGACTCTTGCCCAATTTCCAGACCAAAGTCAATTCAATGGCACAGAACTCTGTGGTTGAAGCCTAGCTTGTGCCTCCTTACCATTTTATACCACACATACCAAAACTCTTCCTTCAAGCCTTCCCCAAAGGCACATCTAGATTTTACTAGAGTGACTGTGCCCTGAGGAATAGGAAATACCCAGTGCTTTTGGGGTTACTGTCTTTGAACTGTCACTAATTTTTGGTTCCTGGAGACCCTCCAAATTCCGAGCTATCAGTTAAAATAGGAGTTTACAGTGGCCAGAAGATAGATGGAATCTTACTTCATTTCTTACTTAGGATGGGCTTAGTGGTTCCATGGACCCAGCCTGTGATTATTTTTTTCAGTTGCTGAATGTGTAATTTCAATAATTGTAAAATAACCACACCAGCACATTAATCCATAGGATGAGGGCCATTATGGTAGGAAGGGCCAAATGCAAGCCCCTGGAATTTCACTTAACTCTACCCCAATAGCAAACCAGAAGCAATACTGCATCTTTGGGGGAACTGAAGATGTCAATGCCATTATCAAAGACTTGAAAAAAGTCTTTACACTTCTATCACACCTCATTTAATTAACCTGTTTGGTCTGTGCAGAAGTTAGGTGGATCTTTTACAATAACTGTTAGTAACTGTGAACTATTGTAAATTTCATCAGTGGTCACTCGAGTGCTGGCAGTTTTTCCAGATGTATTATTTTTACTGGGAAAAGTCAACATGGTACCTAGTAATTTCTATATAGCTATGAGCCTGGCATCAAGAAAATGTCTTTACACTTCTATCACATCTCATTTCATTCACCTGTTTGGTCTGTGCAGAAGTTAGGTGGATCTTTTACAATAACTGTCAGTAACTGTGAATTATTGTAAATTTCATCAATTTACAATAGATGAAATTGTAATTAAATATGCAATGTGGTCACTCTAGTGCTGGCAGGTTTTCCAGATGTAATATTTTTACTGAGAAAAATCAACATGGTACCTAGTAATTTCCATATAGCTACACACCTGGTTAATGACTGTTTAGCAAGACCAATTTGCAAGTTATCACTAGAAATGTGTACAGCTTGAATGCCATCTACTTTGTACCATTACAGAGGTTTCAAAATTGTCTTGCACATAATAATTCAATACATATTTACTGAGTTAACTGAACTCAGTTATCTCTGAATAATATCTCTATTCCTCCTCCAGTTCATGCCAGGGAAGCTCTGGCATCTCAAACTCATTTAACATAGGCCACCACTGAGTTTAACGGGAGTTATTCCCTCACCCCTTAAACCAAACATGTTATCAAAAGAGAAAAAGGAGCAACAGTAAAAAAAAAAAAAAAAAAAAAAAAAAATAGAGAATTCACAATGCAGGTAATAAGGGTAAAAGAGAACAAAGCCAGCCCCAAATATCTGATGATCTATGGATGACTAAAATGTGGAAAAGAATAAAGTACAGCATGAAAATTCATTCAACGATGTGTGTGCAGTCACCTTCATAAGTACATGGGGGAGTTCTCCAAATATTTAGGAAAAGAAATCATACACTGAATGTATTGTCTAGCTAGCATATGTTCTATGATTAAACCATTCTTTCTTTTAATTTTTTCTTTCTTTTTTTGAGACAGAGTCTCACTCTGTCGCCCAGGTTGGAGAGCAGTGAGGCTCACCGCAATCTCTGCGTCCCAGGTTTAAGTGATTTCCTGCCTCAGTCTCCTGAGTAGCTGGGATTACAGGCATGCGCCATGATGCCTGGCTATTTTTTTTTTTTTTTTTTTGGTATTTTTAGTAGAGATGGATCCACCTGCTGTGGCCTCCAAAGTGCTGGGATTACAGGCATGAGCCACCACGCCTGGCCAAGGACCATTATTTCTTATGTATCTTGCTAGTTCTTAAGGAAATAAGATTACTGAAAAAGTAAGCAGTTTGTTCTTAAAAATAACCCAGAAACTTTCTTACAAGACTTCTGTGAATAGGACCAAGTATTTGAGAGCTCTGTTCTGGAAACAAACTTGTCTCTAAACCATCTTTAATTTTAAAATGAAGGATCCATATTAAAAATTTTTGTTAGAAATATGTATAATTGTGCATCGTAGAGAAAAAATGAGTTTTGCCATTTAAAGTAATTTTACATATTATCTTTTTTATTTTTAAACTATCATTTACTATCCTGAATTATGCTTAGGTTTATTACTATTGGCACAAAACAATAATAGCTAACAATAAATTCTATTGTCAAGTTCTGTTAAATCTCTTGTTTTAAATTTTACTCTGTGCTAAAAATCGCAAGTAACAAGTTTAAAATTACAAAAATTGGCACATTATTATATATAATTTATTCATGGAGACTATATTTAGAAAATTCTAAATCAGCCTATTAGGTCCTGGTTATACAGATTCACATACACAAACATATGCACCTGCACAGATATGGACCGCCTGCTAATTAATGTTCAAACATATAAGAAAAAATAATATCGGGAATTATGATTTGCTGTTCCGTGTAGTAGCAATTAAAAAAAATTCTGAATCAGACACTTGCACAAGCCAGAAAATGAAAACGGTTTTAGATTTCCAGAAACATTTTTGATGCTGACATACATTTCATATCTTAGACATCTTTCAGGGTTGATAGTTATAATCAAGATTGCATATTTAATTAAATGAAACTATTAGCAACTTCACAGAAGTTTAAGCAGTATACTATGTTATAAATAGAACGACTTAATTGCTATTCATTTCTTTAGTCATGACACAAATAATTATGGGAAATTGCCATAATGAAGAATGTACATACACATGCTCTTTGATATCTACATGTGAAATCAGGGTGGGACTAAGCTGTGTAATCCTTATTTCTGTTGATAATACCAGCGAAGTTCTTTGCCTCCCTTCCCTCCTCAGGCTTTTCCCTTCACTCTGACCAATTCCTTCCTCAATGTTGCTGCCAGCCTCCTCTCGGAGGACCCTCTTCTCTCTGACCATTTCCTTCCTCAATGTTGCTGCCAGCCTCCTCCCGGAGGACCGGGGAGGAGGGTCTTACTAGTGTTCCAGCTGGATTCTCTCATCATGACTCCTGCCTAGTGCCTCTGTAACTAGAGTTGGAAGTGAGTGTTTCGCCTTGGTGTCCCACTCTTGACCCAACCAACTCCTCTTTTGGGCTTCAACAAAGCTGTCTTATTCTTGGCACCCTATCTAGGAATCTGGACAAAGTTCCACATGTTGGATTCAAAAACCATTTCAGTGACAGCACCCAATGCCTTGCTAACACGAAACATGTGTCCTTTTGGTGCTTTTTATCTTTGAATGAATTTGGCCACCTGCCCCCTTACCATCATCTTCGTGGTGATTTCTTCTTTTAGGAGAAGATTTTCTCTTTAAGTGACAATATATTAATACAATGCCAAATATGATCTATACCATAACTCCTTAACTGGTGGATCATGTCCCACTGGTATGTCATAAAGAGGTAACAAGTCAGCTACCATCTTAATCAATTCAGCCCTTGGGACAACTTGGCAAGATCTGGGTACAAACAGCCTCGTCTCTTTAATTCTGTATAAAAGTTTGGTACTGTATTGTTTTGGGGCTTTATACTTTCTGCCATTTCA
The DNA here is from genome assembly GCF_000001405.40 of Homo sapiens. Taxonomy (NCBI): domain Eukaryota; kingdom Metazoa; phylum Chordata; class Mammalia; order Primates; family Hominidae; genus Homo; species Homo sapiens. Next base: position 91,564,472 of record NC_000013.11, read on the forward strand.
AGTAGCATCCTTGGGATACAGACAGATATGAATAATGTAGATAACGATTTAGCAATCCAAGAAAATAATTGGCAGAAATGAGTGAATTTTAATGTATTTGCAAAGCAATCTCATGAGCATGTAACTCAGAACAGCATGTGGCAGAATAAATCGCCTGCAGACTGTTTTCTAATCTCTGTCATCTTAATGGAATAGCAAATTTGCTTATAGGTATCCCTGAGATATGGGTGTAAATGGAGATAAATGATATATTTGAATTTTTTTCCAGGTATCAAATATGGGCTTTTGCAGTCTAAAAATTATCAGGCATATTATCGATTTTTGTTTAGTCTTTAAGTGATTTACAAGTCTTTTCAATATGTCGCCTTCAAATTATACTGTATAGTAACACAAACAAAATTCAAATATTCATATTTTATAAATTAAATAAAATAATTCAAGGTCATAAACTAATGGCTGACTTTTCTAGGTCATGGTTAGTTATATGATTTTTAAATATTTATATTTCTGTGGCTTTTTTTTGGGGGGGGGTCGGTGGGACAGAGTCTCGCTCTGTCACCCAGGCTGGAGTGTAGTGGCGTGATCTTGGCTCATTGCAACTTCTACCTCCTGGGTTCAAGCAATTCTCCTGCCTCAGCCTCCCAAGTAGCTGGGATTATAGGCATGCACCACCACGCCTGGCTAAGTTTTGTATTTTTAGTAGAGATGGGATTTCACCATGTTGGCCAGGCTGGTCTTGAACTCCTGATCTCCGGTTATCTGCCCACCTCTGCCTCCCAAAGTGTTGGGATTGCAGACATGAGCCACTGTGCCTGGCCAAATATTTATATTTCAGTGAAAAATTAGAGTTTATACTGCTTCAACAATGTACAGTTGTTAGAAAAAATTTGGAGTTTATACTGCTTAAGCAATGCACAGTTGTTAGAGAAAGTTTGGAATTTATACTGCTTAAGCGATGTACAGTTGTTAGGCAGACATCGGATAATATTTGCTTAACTTATTGGCCCAGAACAAAAGGCAGTAAATAAGTAAGGGAGCAGTTTGGGGAAGAGGCTGTTATTGGCAGGGAATCCTAGGCAAGATCCAGGAAATATTGAAGTGGAAGAGACTATTAATGTTAAAATTAACCAGACATGTACTTACAGCCATGGTTGTTTGTCCTAGGCGTTGCGCCTGGCACACTAATGCTGAACAAATGTAACCGACTATTAGTTATATTATTAATGAGCATTATCTATATATTTTGAAAGACTTTATTCATTTCCTAGAACTGCCATAACAAATATACACAAATAAGTTGGCTTAAAACAACAGAAATTTATTCTTTCATGATTCTGGAGGCAGAAGTCTGAAATCCAGGTGTCTGTGGGGTTGGTTACTTCTGGAGGCTCTGAGGATGACTCTATTCCATGTTTCTCTTCAAGCTCTTCGTGGCTGGTGGCACTTTTTGGTGTTCCTTATCTTGTAGACCCATGATTTCAATTTGTGCTGCTGTCTTCAAATTGCCGTTTCCTTTGTGTTTGTCTTTTCTTTTAATTATAAGGACACTTGTTACTGGATTTAGGGCCCACACAGTAATCCAGCATCATCTCGTCTCAAGATCCTCAATGTAATTACATGTGCAAAGACCTTTTTCCCACACACGGTCACATGTGTAGGCTTCAAGTGGACATATCTTTGTGCGTGGGGGTCACCAATCTACTACAGCCTCAAAATGTATTAAAGTCAGTTCTGAGTTTCTTAGGAAACTATGTCTAAAATATTTACTTAAATGAGAATGAGTTGAATCATTTATCAAAAATGCAAATTTCTGGCCGGGCGCGGTGGCTTATGTCTGTAATCCCAGCACTTTGGGAGGCTGAAGTGGGCAGATCACGAGGTCAAGAGATCGAGACCATTCTGGCCAAGATGGTGAAACCCTGTTTCTACTAAAATACAAAAAATTAGCCGGGCGTGGTGGTGCACGCCAGTAGTACCAGCTACTTAAGAGGCTGAGCAGGGGAATCACTTGAACCCAGGAGGCAGAGGTTGCAGTGAGCTGAAATCATGACACTGCACTCCAGCCTGGCAACAGAGCAAGACTCTGTCTCAAAAACAAAAACAAAAAAATTTCTGAACTATTTCCCAGATATCTGATTGAGTAGTTGAATGGCTAGTATGTGAGTATTCAGCAAGCACCACAGGTATTTCTGATATAGGTAATCCTTACATAAATTTTTGAGAAACATAGCAGACTAATATTTGAGGTGGCTGAATAAAATATTTTTCTCAAACTTCACTTTAGTAAAAGGAAAAGCACATCATATCTATATGAAATTATATTTTAATACTTTTCAAAAGGGATTTAAGAGGTTTTTAATTTTGAAAACTGATTAGTCAACCAAAATGTTGAGTAAATATTCATCAAAATAAACCATTTGAAAGATTATATTACAAAATTAATTATTTTTCTTCCAATTCTTTTTTTTTTTTTTTGAGAAAGCAAAATAAAACTTGAAAGCATTTAGCAGTGACTGGGAAAGAAAAGGCAAATGCATTAGAGTACAGAATTTGGGACTGTCTCTATTTTGCCTGTTTCCATTGGCTCCCATCATCATGCTTTTATTTCAGATCTTGTCCTGTATTTGGATCTTTCTCAGGGCCAGCCTTGTCCCATAAGCATGTGACTCCATTTCTACAGACTGAATAGTTCAAATATCAGAATTAAAGTCATTTAAAGGAACCTGGAGATTTCTTTATTTTTAGGAGTGGTTCAACGTGGTATATATGAAGGAAGCTGCATGTGTATTTGTGTATGTGTGCCTGTGCGTATGAGTATGCAGGTGTAGTATGATGTGTTTTAAAAGCAGATATTCTTATCTTTTGTTTAGATGTTCTCTACACTTAGTGTATTTCTAGGTCCTCCATGTTGCTAATTGAAAATGGTGTTTTTAACTAAAAAAAGGGGGATTAACACAGAGGTCAAAGGTTATAGCATTTCTGGGAAATAAATAATTGCAACTCAGGTACACTGAATCAGGGCAGCCCTGAATAGTGTTCTGTATGCCAAGCTCAGGAGAGGTTTTTTAATAGAGATTTCCACACAAGTTGTTTTCAGAAGCAGTTATTTGGCTGGGCAGAAATCTGAAATCACAAACCCATTCTGATTGGTTAGTTAATTAGGATACTGCCAGCTGAGGGATATTGAAGGCTGGAGGATACAGACTTTAGTTGTTTGTCGAAGTCTGTTGGAACATTCTGTGGTTTGACCTTCAGCAGGGGTAACTGCAGTCCTCTCCCAATCTCCCAACTCCACTTTAGAAAGCCTTAGTCTTAGTTACTTAATTTTCTTTTGTTCGGTTATAGGTGCTGATATGATTTGGCTCTGTGTCCCCACCCAAATCTCATCTTAAATTGTAATCCCCGCATGTGGCGGAACAGACCTGTAATCCCCACTTGTGGAGGGAGTGAGCTGATAGGATAATGGGGGCAGTTTCTCCCATGCTGTTCTTGTGACAGTGAGTGAGTTCTCACGAGATCTGATGGTTTTATAAGTGTTTGACAGCTTTTCCTTCACATGCTAACACACTCTCCTGCCACCTTGTGAAGAAGGTGCCTGCTTCCTCTTCTGCCATGATTGTACATTTCCTGAGGTCCCACTAGCCATGTGGAAGTAGTTTACTTTATAAACCTCCTTTGTTTATAAATTACCCAGCCTCAGATAGTATGTTTATAGCACTGTGAGAATGGACTAATGCAGATGCCTATTAATGCCTTGCTTCTCAAAGTGTGATCTATGACTGGCAGCATTGTCATGACATGGGAATTTATTAGAAATGCAGAATCTTTGCCCTCATCCAGAACTACTGAATCTGAATCTATATTTTAGCTAACTTCCCTAAGGTATTCCTAGGCTCATTAAAGTTTGAGAACTGAACAAACTTATAAAATGCTTCAGTAGATCAGCAGTTGCTTTTAATATAGGAGGCAATCTTTATAAGGGTTTCTAGGATATGATCCTTAGTGTGCAGCTGGGTCTGTAGGAAGATTTATATCTACAAATTCCTGAGTTGTACATCACATTGCTAGGGAAAAAGTAGAGCTTTTATTGAAAAAAAAAAAGGCATGAAAGTTTAGTGTTTTTTTCTTGTATGAAGACGGGTCCTTAGAATTTTTCAAATATTTTGTCTTTAAAATTGTCTAGGTTTGTTAATGATCAATATAAATTGGAAGGCCACCAGTACTTATCTTAAAATAGGCTTTCCATAGCAAATCATGTACCATATGTTATTTCTTTTTCTTTCTTTCTTTTTTTTTTTTTTCAGAAGGAGTCTCTCTCTGTCGCTGGAGTGCAGTGGTGCAATCTGAGCTCACTGCAACCTCCACCCCCAGGGTTGTAACAATTCTTCTACCTCAGCCTCCTGAGTAGCTGGGATTACAGGTGTCTGCCATCACACCCAACTAATTTTATTGTATTTGTAGTAGAAACAGGGTTTTACCATGCTGGCCAGGCTGGTCTTAAACTCTTGACTTCAGGTGATCCACCTGCCTCAGCCTCTCAAAGTGTCGGGATCAGAGGCATGAGCTACTGCTCCTGGCTGTTATCTCTTTTTTAATGTAAGATGTGTCCATGAAGTGTTATAACATGTAAAATACACACTGTAAACTGTATTAAAAATTAGTACAGTTGAAAGCTGAGGCAAGATAGAAAGAAATTGAACAACAGACCAAGGAGATATAAAATTTTAGGATATGAAAGTGTCACTTGAAATTAGTGAGGAAAGATATTTTGTTCAATAAATGATATTGGGCCACCTATCTAAACATTTATGAAAAAGTGGATTTTTAAAATATCATACCCAAGATAAGTTCTAGGTCAGTGTTTCTAAATATTGTTTTTGTCATTGGCTGCAACAAGTCATATAAAATATATATGTTTCTCCTAATTCATCCTCTCTCTCTGTAATTTTAAAAATACAGATATACTCTACATCAGTTTCTGTACTATGGCCCTTTGGAGCGTCGTTAACAATTTTAATATATAACATTTTTGTTCTCCCTAGCCTCAACAATTTTGCCCCATTGGAGGTGGTATAACCCCCAATGAGAATGCATGTTCAAGAATCTAGAAGAAGTAGAGTTTTAAATGTAACAAAATAATTGCTATAATTTGAATGATGGCATCCTTTCCAAAATTCGTATTGTAGCTTAATCCTCATTTTGGTAGTATTACGAGGTGAGGCCTGTTGGGAAGTGATTAAGTCAAGAGTACCTCTCCCTTCATGAATGGATTAGTGCCTTGTAAAATGGCTAAAGGGAGCTAGCTTAGGCCAATTTTCCTTCTACCTTGCACTATGTGAGGACACCTTGACAGTGCCTTCTATAAGGAATGGGTCCTCAGGAGACACTGAACCAGCTGGCTTCTTGATCTTGAACTTCCCCGCCTTCAGAAATGTGAGAAATAAGTTTCTGTTTTTTATAAATTACCCATTCTCATGTATTTTGTTACAGCAGGACAAATGGACGAAGATAATAATGAAAGAATAAGATAACAATTTAAGTGAAGGTTTGTAATTTTAGAGTGATTAAGTCCCTTCGGAAAAAATGATTAAACAGAAAATGCATAAAAGATATACTCATATATTAAGCTACATATTTTGAAAATCTATTGAACTATAAAAGTCGCCATAAACAAACTTTTAAAATTTTGTGTCTATGTCCATCCCGACAAATAGACATCAGAAAGTTAATGTTTTTTTCTTATTGAGATTATGCATTTAAAAATTTTCAGACATGCATTTTCCACAGTGAGCATCACAACAGGTTGAACATCCCAGATCCAAAAATCCAAAATCCAAAATTCTCCTAAATCTGAAACTTTTTGAGCACTAACATGACATTCAAAGGAAATGTTCCTTGGCATATTTTGGATTTTGAAGTTTTGGATTTGAGATGCTCAACTGGTATATCTGAAAAAAGGTTCAAATTCCCAAAGCACTTGTGTTCCAAAGGATTTTGGTTAGGGATACTCAACCTGTATTATACTTAGAAAATATTTAAAATTATAGCTTTTTAATGGGTGCCTATGATTATGTTATTTAATCCACTTACCTATCTTACAAGGATCTTGCTATATTTTCCACTAGATATTTGAGAATATATGCTTTCGAGCAATTACCCAAATTCCTTTAGTTAGTAAATGTTAGAGCTTGAATTTGAATCTCAGAATCCAAGTGTTTAAAGTTCCTGTAATGTATGATTTTTCTCTGTGCTATGTTTTAAAAATTAGAGCCATCGGTGATTTCCAAACTCATCAACCAAAATTTTGTAATTGTTTTGCTTCTAATTTAGATGTAGTTTGATTGGCCCATTGATGGGATGCATACACTTTATAAACTTGGGACTCAGAATTTTGGGAAAGTCAAGTTTCTTAGTCAAATTGTCTTAATTAGAAAAGTACATAACTCTTTAATTAGTTTCTTTTATGCATAAAGTCAATAATCTATTAAAAATCATAGCTTGCCTCAGTAGTTTTTTGTTTTCCTGGTTGATTTCTGCTGTATCTCCCTTGTCTGATAGTTCAGTCTGTATGCAGTATTCAAAATTCTTGTTGTATTTGGCTTTATTTTTAATGCTTCTGGTCTTTGCACTCCTCACAGATAAATATTTTATACAACATTAATGGTCCTTCTTGTATAGTAAGTCAGAGTTTATTTTACCTCCAGAGTCAATATCAACTTTTAATTAATAATTTGTATGCAAGTATAAGTAATGCCTTTCTCCTGTATTTGGAGATAAACATTTCTGATTTTAACTCTTTGCTAATTCCTTGAAATGTTTCAGATAGAGGAAAAATGATTTTTTAGAATCTTTTCTGTTTTGTCCACTTGCTGAGAAATGGGAAGGGGAAAAGATCTGGTCATTAACAGAGAATGTACTGCATATTTTTTGTTTTCATCCTATTTTAAACTTTTTGTCTTGCCAAGTAAGGATGCCTCAAACTGACAAGCACAGTAACAATTATGAAAATTTTATGTGTAAAAATATATATTGTGAGTAGGTCAGGAGTTCAAGACCAGCCTGGCCAACATGGTGAAACCCCATCTCCACTAAAAATACAAAAAAGTAGCTGGGTGTGGTGGCACACACCTGTAGTCCTAGCTACTCAGGAGGCTGAGGCAGGAGAATCACTTGAGCCCAGGAGGTGGAAATTGCAGTGAGCCAAGATGGTGCCCCTTCACTCCAGCCTACATGACAGAGCAAGACTCTGTCTCAAATATATATATATGTATATATACACACATATACATGTGTATGTGTATATACACACACATATACGTGTGTGTATATATACACACACATACGTGTGTGTATATATACACATATACTTGTGTGTATATACACATATACGTGTGTGTATATATACACACATATACGTGTGTATATACACATATTGTATATATACACATATTGTATATATACACACATGTATATACATATACACACATATATGTATATATGTGTATATATGTATATATGTGTATATGTGTATATATGCATATATGCATATACGTGTGTATATATGTGTATATACACACATATGTATATATACATGTATATACACACATATGTATATGTACATGTGTGTGTATATACACACATGTATATATACGTGTGTATATACACATATGTATATATACGTGTGTATACACACACATATGTATATATACGTGTGTATACACACACATATGTATATATACGTGTATATATATACACATATGTATATACATGTGTATATATATACACATATGTATATACATGTGTATATATGTATGTGTATATGTGTATATTTCACTATAAAGTAGAATAAAATAACTTCGAGTTAAAGGACAGTCTGTATCTGTTCGTTTTGTGTTGTTACAAGGGAATATCTGAGACAGGGTGATCTATAAAGAAAAAAGGTTTATTTGCTTCACAGCTCTGCAGACTATAAGAAGTGTAGTGCCAGCATCTGCTTCTGGTGTGGCCTCAGGAAGCTTATAATCATGGCTGACAGCAAAGGGGGAGCCATTGTATCACATGGTGAGAGAGAGTGAGCAAGAGAGGGGAGGAGGTGCCAGGCTCTTTAAACAACCAGCTCTCAGATGAACTAACAGAGCAAGAATGAAATCATGACCATGGGGAGGGAGGGCACCAAGCTATTCACGAGGGATCTGCCCCCATGACTCAACACCATCCACTAGGCCTCACCTCAAACATTGAGGGGTCACATTTCAACATGAGATTTGGAGTGGACAAACCTTCAAACCATATCACAGTCCTTCCCAAAAAAAGATAGTCATAACCTTATACCAGCAGAAATTTTACTTCTAACACAAAGTTTAAATATTCAACCTATTCTAATTCTTATGGTGTGCTTATTTCCTGATCCTTTTGTCAATCTGGGACTTACATTCACTCCCAATTATTTGTTTTTATTATAATTGTCCCAAATCCATGGTCACAAAGGCATACCGGAGAAAAGGAAAGCAACTTTTAATACAGTTCCCCTCAATTCAGAACATTCTGGCAATACTGAGAGAAGTTGAACAATGGCCCCTGTTACTTTGATTCTTCAGTGATCTCCTGATGTTCTGGGAAGAAATGGGTGCTGGCAAGCCAGGTTGCTGTAACGAGTTGGGCAAAGTTTTACACAATTCAGGTCCAGGGAAGCACAACTTGGTTCCTCGTTTCCAAGGCAGAGCTGTCACGAATTCATCTGGCAATCATGAAGTAGACTCATAGACAGGCTCCTTTGTTTGTTGGCTCACTTACAAATCAGTGGTGCAAGCACATTTGCCTGGGTCACATTTAATCTCCTTACGACAGCTACTTTTAAGTGTTTTAGTATGGCATACGCATACATGCAACTTGCTGAGAATCGATCATTTCTTGTGTAGTCATTACGCTAATTCAGAGATGACTGCTGTCAAGATTTTTTAAAGCTTACTTTCTGATCCTATGCGTATTACAAAGTAATGAAGCTGAATATCTTTAGAGGTAGTCATTATTTTCATTTAAAAATGTATTTAATGAGTCATCACTATGTGAAATGCCTCTTAAGAGCTCAAACTATAGCTTATATTCAGTATAACACTGATACCCTTTACTCTCAAATATTTGACCCTATAAAATTGTTTTAAACCTGTAAATTTTATATTGATAATTTTTTCTAGTACCAGTATCTAATTTATTTCCTAATTATGTATTATACAAACATATTAAAAGCATTTTACAGTCTTGGACACTAAGCAATATGGAGGTAAGACTTGGTTGAAGATAATCTAAAGAGATAAATGTGGAGAGATAAAATTAAAATGAACTCTGATAAGAGAGTAAGTGCTTCAACAAAAATGAAAATTTATCCCTCTTCAAAGTTTTATCGTATATATATGTATATGTATGTGTGTGCACACCTATGTGTATATGTCTATCTATGTCTATACCTGTATCTATTTCTAGTTTGTCACTACATCCTGCCACTTGGTTTATTATCTCTAGTAAATAGTTAAGAGAGCCTCAAAATTTGTAGAAAAAAGATGACATTTATCACCAAGGGTAATTATTTACCATATTCTTTTTTTGTGGTAAAATTGCTAACTATGATGTAAATGTAGAATGTCCAAACATTTGTATACAAGTTGAATACAGTTAGAGCTACATTCTGATTTGCCATTTTGGTTTCTGGAACTTGTTTGACCTAAATAGCTAAGAATAAAATACTGGGAATAGGGAGATTTGGTTTCTAGTCTCTGATGAGCTGTGTAATTTTAGATAAGCCACTTAAACCAAAGACTTAAACTTTAGTCTTTGGTTTCCATGTTGTAAGATAAGATATGATTTAAAGTCTAACATACTTTGTAATTCCAAGAGTCCACGAGGTAGAAGAGAGTCAGGTGCTTCAAGCAAGTACAAGTATCAGAATCAGATGAGACAGTAACAGAAATCCTGGAGACACAGTTTTCTGGAGTTTGATTCTACCAGGTCAACAATAGGAACAATAAGGGACCGACAGAACAAGCATTGACATTAAAAGTCTTTAGGAAAAAATATGAATTAATATGCAATCAGAAAGGAGTCCATTTGTATATCAGAAATCACATGAAAAATATTAGAAAGTTATAGAGTTGCTGGCAAGATGAAGTACACTATATATGCATGCCTAGCGTGTGCCAAGTACTGAGGTGGTCATCACTTGATTTTATTTTACCTCTCAATTGCCATGAAAGTAAAGGGATTTTTCCCTAAAACATGAATTACCTATACATGAAGATTAAGTGATTGAGTCTCTGGTGATTAAGTGATTGCCTTATATCACATTAAGTTAGAACTTGGACTCTGTCCATGTTCTAATACTCCTAATGATTAGTTACAACACTGGTTGCCAAACCTAGTTGATCGTTAGAGTTCTGTAGGTTCAGTTTAAAATACAGATGGCTAGGAATCATCCTAGAGTACTAGAATAAAAACTCTGGGCATGATGCCATGGAATGTTTTGTAAGAGAGTTCTCCAATATAATGCCTCCTTGAGAAAGATGGTGATCAAAAATCCATGCAGGCAAGAAAAAGGTCTGAAGAGTAGTGACTGCATGTACCACATTCTATAATATTTGACTATTGAGGCAGTTTTCTGCCACTTCTGAAGTTTTAGTTTCTGTGTCTATTCTAGTTCTATCCATCTCAAATCCTATAACCTATTTTACTACATTGAATTTGTTGTTGAGTGTTCAAATACTGAAAGATAAAAATAGTTTCATTTTCTTTCTTGGAACAAAGTCTTAAATTATAGTATAAAATGGTCAAGTTTTAAAGAAAATTGCATTTATTGAAATAAATGAAATGTTAACCCCACGTGAGTCAGATGTATTTGTTCTATGAATTGAAGCTTATTGCTAATTGATACTTTGAAAAGTCCTAGTATTATCCACTTAAAGGTAGGGTATATTGAAAATGCATTTTAACAGGATGTATTTGCAACTGGAAAATAGAGATGTTGAGAATAACAGAGCTATACAAGAAAGTATTACCCTTTAGCTAGCATATAATCTTTTATTCCTAGGGAGAACACGCTATTTTATATGCATGTTAAAACTGTACCCACTGGCAGAAAAGTTTTACTGATGCTGTATGACGTTTAATTCAATAGCCTGCAGCTTTTTTGTTCCTCTGTGTATGTTAATTAGAAATTTCTTTAAAACTTTTTTAGTTTTAATGAAATACAATGTATATGAGACCAATTGGGTGGCTACAAGATGAGAAAATTGAGTCTTTTTCCCATTGCTAATAATTTAAGTAAAGCGGCTATTTTCTTTAGGAGTATACTTATAAGTAACCATACATTTAAAAAACTTTTTATACTATACCAATTATGTTTTTAATGCCTTCTAGTTGCCACGTTACTTTCAGTGTCAAAGAATTCTAAAAAATAAAGAGAATACAAACAGAAAAGTATTAGGTAAGAATATATTAGATGTCAATAATACAGTAATTTTGGCAACATTTATTTAGCATGAAAACCGATAATGTCAGAATATGAAAGAAGTAGTAGGTAGAACTGTCCTGAATATTGTCAGTCATAGCAGTGTAGGATGGAGATTACCAGAGGCTGAAGGATGGGAACATTGGGCAGACAGATGTTGGTCAAAAGGTACAAAATTTCAGTTAGGCAGGAGGAATAAATTCAAGAGATCTATCTTATATCAAGGTAGCTATGACTAATAGCAATGTATTGTATGCTTGAAAATTGCCGAGGGTAGATTTTAAGTGTTCTTATCACAAAAAAAATGATTAATACATATGTTAATTAGTTTAATTTAGCCAATACACAATGTGTATATATATATATATATTGAAATCTGTTGTACACCACAAATATATATAATTTTACTTAGTAGTTAGAAATAAATAAAAAATTATGTAGGCAAAGTCAGAGGCAATAAATGGACAGCAAAAAATAAACACAACTAAAACAACTTAAAGTAAGTATATTGGGAAAAATATACATTGCATCAGGAGATTCCTAACGGGTAACAGTACCCAGTGTTGAAGTGTTTGAGGAAACTTTTTAGTTTACAAAGGTGTTTGCCAAATTAGTGTAACCACAGGGTGTGTTAACACATGCAGAGATTAGCAGCATCAGGACCACGCTGCCCCTCCTGATGCCAGGGAAAGAGATGTGTTTCCAGAGCCTGATGAGAGCTGCAACAATGGAAAGGGGCCCTTCTGCCAGCAACTGTTATCTTAAAGGCATATGGCTAAGTCAGAATATCACAAAAGCAGGGAGGAAGCAGAAATCTCCTGTCATCGCCTCCTGCTGGCCAAACTCAGCTGAAGCCACCAACTAAAACAAAGTTCTGTATGCTGAATTCACATAAAACTCTTAATGTCACACTTAGCAGATTCAGTTGATTGCTTACAATATTTAGCTTCTGGTTCATCTGTAAAAAAAAAAAATTTGTATGTGAAAAGGCAGAAATACTTCACATGTTTTCCTTCTTTTCTTGTATCAGAATTTTTGCATTAGTTCTGTATTTGACCTTCTCTCTACTCCTTACTCATTTTTGCATAAGAGCTCTACTGCCCAGGCTTGAGGTTTTCCTAAAATACTGTGAACAGATTATTGGTTCTTCCTGTCTCCCTAGGCACTATATGGATTCTCCTGCCATAAATTGACTGAAGGGTTGGATGATTGTGGACTTCCTTTTAGCCGCTTAGCTGTCAGGTGGGAATTGTGGAAGTAGTTGGGTCTTTGGGAAATTCAACTTGGGAAATGTGGTTAATTTTCTGTATATATTTCTTGAAATGGTGCCAGTGAAGCTGAGCTCAGCTAGCTAAGGAGTTAAAATATAATATCGCAGTGGGGAGAGCTATTTGAATTATACATTGGTCTTTCCACCACTTTTCTACCTTCCAGAGACTCAGTAATGCCTTGGCTACTTTGGAAAGAAGTCCCCTTGCAGAAGAGCCCTAGGGTCTGTGGACTTTGTCTTTGGTGCATTATTAATATGTTCTTCTACGCTGCTACCTTCCCTGACTGTTGTTGATGCCTTCCTATGCAGTTGGCTCCTCACCTATTGTTGACTTTCTTCCTCCATGTAATGTGCCAGAACATTCACATTGCATGTTTTCCTTACTGTGGCAAGCTTCTGTCATAATTATGAAACTTGGTCATAAAGAAAAAAATGGCACTCTAAGGGCTGTGAGCTTCTTCTTCTAAACGTTTGTTACTATGGACTTCTCAAAAAGTTGTTGATTTAAGGTTGGAAATACAGCTCTAAAATGGGCATTCCTTGTCTTTTTCATAGTCTCCTGACACCTCTTACCCTTATACCAATATATTGGTGGCTATATGTGGTGGTTTAAAATATGTCCACAGATTCTTTGACATTCCTTTCGAAAGATGGAACCTAATTCCTTCTCCCTTAAGTATGAGCTGGACTTAGTAACTTGCTTCTAATAAATAGAATAAGGCAGAAATGATAGTGTGTGATTTCTGTGGCTAGGCCATGAAAGATATTGTAGTTTCAGCCTTCCTCTCTCATCTTGGGTCACTGTCTCTGAGGAAAGCCAGCTGCCATGTTGTAAGGATGCTCAAGCAGTGACATGAAGGGTTCATGTATCCAGGGACCAAAGCTTCCTGCCCACAGCAGCAAGGAACTGAGGCCTTCTGCCAACAGCCATGCAAGTGAGCCTTCTTGGAAGCAGATCCTTCAGCTCCAGTGAAGGCTTCAAATGATAGCTCTCCTGGCTTGTCTTAAATGCAACCTCATGAGAGACCCTAGTCTAGAACCATGTAGCAAAACTGCTCCCAAATTCCTGATCCACAAAAGCTGTGAGATAATATATATTCATTGCTTTAAGCAGATAGCTTTCAGGTAATGTCTTATGCAGCACTAGGTTAGTAAATCACTGTTCATGTTTTTTCTTCCAGAATTTACTACCCCCTTTGTCATTTTAGCACCCTCTCATAGAAGAGAGTTATTGGTAATTTCCCAGGATGTTCTTGAAGAGAAGTTTGATTCAAATTTCAATGTGTTCTCCAAATCTGATAGTATGACCCTAATGCAGTCCCTGTGTTTTAGGATGATGAAATTTTCATCTATAATCGCCTTTCATTTTTTTAAATTTTCATTTGTTTCTAGAAGGAAAAATGTGTAGTCTGGTCTTTACTGTGATTTTTGATTCATATATATATATATATATATTATGCTAATGCTTGATATCCACTTTTAAAATATTTTCAAAGTAGTAAGTAATTAACGAATGTAAATTTTAGGCCGGGTGCGGTGGCTCGTGCCTGTAATCCTAACACTTTGGGAGGCTGAGGCAGGTGGATTGCTTGAGCTCAGGAGTTTGAGACCAGCCTGGGTAACATTGTGAAAACCGGTCTCTATAAAAACATAAAAAAATTAGCTGGGAGTGGTGGCATGTGCCTGTAGTCCCAGTCACTTGGAGGCTGAGGTGGGAGGATTGCTTGAGCCCAGGAGGCAAAAGTTGCAGTGAGCCGAGATCACACCAGTGCACTCCAGCCTGGGTGACAAAACGAAACCCTGTCTCTAAATAAATAAACAAATTAATAAATTTTAAAGGTTTACTTTGGAAAAGAAAACAGAACCAATGGTCATATTTCCCTTTGTAATTATTTTAATTTCTTGTGACATTCCATGATAATTGTCATGTACTGTCACATGTGGGATTCAACCAGAGAGCCATACAGGTTTCCCTCGGAGGTCAGGGCATTACATATCTGCTCTGGATGCCCCTTTGGCCCGGCATGTCCTTTCAGCTGAACATTTGCTCTTTGAAAACTCAAATGTCCTCTTCTTTATCTACACATCTTATTGTTCCTTATGTCCTTATTCTTTCGGACCATAACTTTACCCATGTGTGTAACTATAAGAGTGCTGTAACATTTTATAACCTGCATCTGTTCCATGTCTCTCTTCCCTCTTGTCAGTTCTGCTACGGCATGGAATCACACTGGACTCACCACTTTATCCTCAGCTCTGTCATCTGAACCACATTGAATACGAACCTGCCTCTACCTGCTCTACTTGTGCATCCTAGTGTTCTTACTCCTTAAGCTCTTACAGTTGAGTTTGCATCATAATATTTCTTTCTTTCTTTTTCTTTTTCTTTTTTTTTTTTTTTTTTTTTTGTGATGGAGTTTCGCTCTGTCACCCAGGCTGGAGTGAAGAGGCGCGATCTCGGCTTACTGCAACTTCTGCCCCCTGGGTTCAAGAAATTCTCCTGCCTCAGCCTCCCAAGTAGCTGGGATTACAGGCACCTGCCACTACGCCCAGCTTTTTTGTATTTTTAGTAAAGATGGGGTTTCACCATGTTGGCCTGGTTGGTCTCGAACTCCTGACCTCGTCATCTGCCTGCCTCTGCCTCCCAAAGTGCATCATAATATTTCCTGGTAATTTGATTGCTATTAGTAAGAGCCTCAGAATTAGAGCTTTACGGTATTTTAATTCTTTCAAGTAACTTCTTGGGCAATAATTTTATATCATATAAGAGATATAATATTTCACAGAACACATTTTATTATAATTAATCTCAATACTTAAGGTGCATTTTGAAACAGAGTCTTGCTCTGTCACCCAGGCTGGAGTCCAGTGGCGCAATCGCGGCTCACTGCAAGCTCCGCCTCCCAGGTTCATGCCATTCTCCTGCCTTAGCCTCCAGAGTATCTGGGACTACAGGCGCCTGCCACCATGCCTGGCTATTTCTTTGTATTTTGAGTAGAGACAGGGTTTCATCGTGTTAGCCAGGATGGTCTTGATCTCCTGACCCTGTGATCTGCCTGCCTTGGCCTCCCAAAGTGCTGGGATTACAGGAGTGAGCCACCGTGCCTGGCTTTAAAATTTTTTGGTGAAAATAAATATAACAAAATAGATTAAATATTATTACCCTTTATAAAATATCATATGAGTAATAATAGTTGCTTTTTCTTGAATGAAATTTTTAGCATCCTTACCTAGGCTTGGAAATTTTTTTCTTTAGCTTTCCCACCTGAGATCTAGCCAAAAGTATGATCCTAGCTTTGCTCTTACTTCAATTTACCCTCTTCCACTTTACTTACATCATAAGCAGGTTTTTAAATTGTTTGCAGAGAATGTAACTGTTTGACATAGAAACACCTTTGGAAGCAGTCACTGAGAATGTTATTATGACATGTTTCTTGCTGCATTGGCACCCTTTAGGATAAGCTCTTACCATCCACCTTCCTATTCCTTGCCATGCACACAATCATTGTTGTTCTTCGAGTCAGAAGCTTGTGAAGTTCTCTTGGTTCTATATTATTTTGCCCATATTCATATATTCATTAAGTTATTTTATGTATTAGTCCATTTTCACACTCCTGTGAAGACATACCTGAGACTGGGTAATTTATAAAGGAAAGAAGTTTAATTGGTTCACAGTTCAGCATGGGTGGCGAGGCCTCATGAAACCTTCAATCATGGTGGAAGATGAAGAAAACATGTCCTTCTTCACATGGCAGCAGCAAGGGAAGAATGAGTAAAAGAGAAAAAGCCTCTTGTAAAACCATCAGATCTTGTGAACTTACCATCAAGAGAACAGTATGGGGGAAACTGCCTCCATGATTCAATTACCTCCCACCAGGTCCCTCCCATCACACATGGGGATTGTGGGAACTAGAATTCAAGATGAGATTTGGGTGGGGACAAAGTCAAACCATATCTTTACATATGTGTCTATGTGTGTGTCCAGTTTTTACTATGTAGTATATACTATATTCTGTGTACTCTAAAAAGTGTAGAGACTTTTAGAGAAAATAAAAAGTAGATAGGAAAGTAGAGTGGAAGAAATATAACACTATTTTGGCCCCATCATGGTCAGCTTTTGTAAAGTTGGATTTGTACTGTGGATTCTAGATTTTGTTTTCAGTTTTAATCTGACTTTGTCCCCCAGTTGACCCTTATACTCCTCCCTTCATCCAAGATCTGGATTCTTAGTCTTGCTCTGATCTGCCTGCTTTCATTATATGGCTGGTACTGCCTTCTGGTTTCTTCTCCAGTGCTAGCTACTGCTTGTGCCATAACTAATCCCTGAGAAGGATATATATTCACTAATATATTTTGTAGTTGCATATTTATTTGCAACATCAATTTGCTTGTGCATAAAATATTTGTAATTTCAATCCTGCACAATTTATGAGTCTCTTATACTCTAAAAATGATTAAATTATCAATGCAGGGTTTTAACATTTAAAACTCAGTGTAACGACTTCTCAATCATTAAGATAATCTGAAGAAAATTTTAAAATTTCTCTCTGTCTCACACACACACCCACACACACAAACACACAATCACCAACAAACATGAGGGACTATATATATAAATTAGACCAACTTCTTACTAAGAACAGTTAGGAAATCTCCAAAACATTTACAAACATTTGCTTGAAGATATCAGAGAGCCAGCCTGCTAACAAATAATTATAGGACCAAAGTCCAAGAGAAAAATGAAACCCAGGATGCTAAATTAGGCTTAGGGAGGCTTTCTTGCTTGTGTTTTCAGATTCTGGAAGAGGCAAGTGAGAAGTTTGCCTTGGTGTAGACAAAATGTCTACACCAAGTAGACATTTTAACAGATTCACAGGGCTGCAGTGGGGGAATAGAACTTGGAAGTTAGTACTTGCCATGGCAGTGGTTTAGACTCCAAAGATCTTGTCCTTAGGTGTAAGCTAATAGTAGAAATAAAGTGTTTCTCCTTGGAATGGAAACCAGACATAGAACAATCTCAGTTCCTGATTATATCAAATGGATATGGACTTGCTAATATTTCTGGTAAACTCCAAAGGATCAAAATAAAATATTCTCTGGAGAAAGATAATATCATCACAGGCTTCAAGTTATCTCTTTAATTTTCCATATAAAACAGCTGGTAGTCAAACAAACAAACAACAGCAGCAACAACAACAACAAAACAGACATGAGAACACTTGAAAACATGATAGAAAACTAAAGAAACAAAAGATAGAGACTCACAGAGGTTCCAGACAATGGAAATATCAAACACAAACTTGAAAAAAATGATGTGTAATTTTTTTAGGATATGGAAACACAAGATTGAGATTTTTGGCAATGTAAGTTAGATTTAACAGCAGAAAATTATTTAATGTAATTTCCCACTTTGAAAGATCAAAGGAGGGCAATTATGGCATCCTGTCAATGTAAACACAAGCTCAATTGGTAATATTTAATATCCATTTATAGGCCAGGCACGGTGGTTCACGCCTGTAATCCCAGCACCTTGGGAGTCTGAGGCGGGCAGATAACTTGAGGTCAGGTGTTCGAGGCCAGTCTGGCCAACAAGGTGATACCGTGTCTCTACTAAATATACAAAAATTATCTGGGCATGGTGGCACCCAGCTACCCGGAAGGCTGAGGCAGGAGAATTGCTTGAACTGGGGAGATGGAGGTTGTAGTGAGCCGAGATCATTCCACTGCACCCCAGCCTGTTTAACAGAGTGCAACTCCACCTCAAAAATAAATAAATAAATAAATAAATCTATTTATAGTAAAAACATTTAGCATCTAGGAATAGAAGTCCATTTGATAAAGATAGCTATAAAGGAATCCTACTGCAAACATTATACTTAATAATAAAATGCTGACAGCCTTCTCTCTTAGAGTGGAAAGGAGAAAATTATGTTCACTATCACCACTTCTATTCAAATGTTATCAGATGTGTAGAGAAAGAAGGTAAGTAAAAGAAATAAAAGGAATATAGTTGGAAAGGAACAAACAAAACTATTATTCACTGACAATATGTTTATATATTCCATGATGTATATTTGAACTATTAAAATTAATAAGTGAATTTAGCCAAGGTTGTGAACATGAGGTTAATATTAAAACATGATTTGAATACACCAATAATAAAATAAACTTTACCAAGAATATATGCCAAGACCGAAATATACCAACAATAAAATAATATTTAAAAGAGACATGTCCTTGAAAATGGCACAAAAGTATCAAATGTTATACCTAGTACTGATCATATTCCTACATGGGAAAGGTGAAATATTATTGAAGAAAAGCAGATACACAAACTCAGAATAATCGCAATCAAAATTTTGTCAAGGTTTTTTTTGTTAGAAACTGAAATGCTGATTTCAAAATGTATATGTTAATGAAAGGTGACAAGAATAAGTAAAATAGCTGAGACACCCTTGAAGAAAGAGGCAGGAGGACTTACACTTTCTGATATCAAGAGTCTAAATTTCTTGATTGCTGTGATTCTCAAGATCCTTAAATGTAAAGTGCAGATAAAAAAATAGGATTTTTTGAAGGTGAAATGAGATAGTGCAATACTTACCAGTGTACCAGGTATGTTGCAAAAGCTTAAAACGTAGAAATTATTATATTATTTATGTCATCTTATTATGAGCTGAACTGTATCTTCCCCAAATTTGTATGTAATCCCTGCTACCTCAGAATGTGACTGTATTTGGAGATAGGGCCTGTAAAGAGCTGGTTAAGTTAGAATGAAGCCATCAAGAGGCCCAAATCTAATATGACTGATGTCCTTGTAAGAAGTGGAAATTGGGACACATGCACAGAGGGAAGGCCATTGGAAAACACAGGGAGAAGATGGCCATCTGCAAGCGAAAGAGAGGCCGCCGAAGAAACCAGTCCTGAAGACACCCTGATCTTGGACTTCTGGCCTCCAGAATTCTGAGAAAATAAATTTCTGTTGTTTAAGAAATTGTTAAGTTTTTTTTTGCGAAGTTACAGTAAATAAGATACTATTGGTGCCCAATGAGATAGAATCCAGTCATGTAGAAATACATTCAAAAACATATGAAAATTTGATTTAAGGTAATTTTTCTGTTTTGATAAATTTGCTGGTTGGGTTAAACAATCCAAAGAGGAAAAAATAAAACTTATCTCTAGAACATACATACAAAAAATCAATTCTATGTGAATGTTGATGCAAATGTAAAAGATAAACTATCAGTAAATATCTTCATAATTTTAGGATAAGGAATACTTTTTTTAGAAAGACATAAAATTCATTGATAATATAAGAGAAAATTTGGACTATATTAAAACCAAGAACTTTTTTTTTTTTCATACAGAGTTTTGCTCTTGTTGCCCAGGCTGGAGTGCAATGGCGCAATCTTGGCTCACTGTAACCTCCACCTCCTGGGTTCAAGTGATTCTCCTGTCTCAGCCTCCCTGCCTCAGCGGGATTACAGGTGCCCACCACCATGCCCAGCTAATTTTTATATTTTTAGTAGAGACAGGGTTTCACAATGTTGGCCAGGCTGGTCTCAAACTCCTGACCTTAGGTGATCTGCCCGCCCGGTCTCCCAAAGTGCTGGGATTACAGGCATGAGCCACTGTGCCAGGCCCAAAACTAAGAACTTTTGTTGATAAAGATTCCATTAGAGAATGAAAGGTAAATCACAAATAGGAGTGGATGTTTGCAACATGCATAACCAAATAACAAAAATATAAGACATCCCTATAAATCAATAGAAAAAAGACAAGCCATTTTTGAAATGGCAAGTTCTTGAACAGGCATTCTACAAAATAGGATATCCAGATGACTAATAAACATAACAAAGGTGTTCAATCTCAATTAGTATCAGAGAAATGCAAATTAATGGCTCAAATATGAAAAGATTGCCAATACTAAATGTTGACAAGATGATGAATTCTCATATACTACTGGTAGTAACATAGATTAGCACCATCATTTTGGAGACAGTTCACTAATTTTGAACATATGCATACTATAACCCAGCAATCCCACTTCTGTGTATATACCCAAAAGAAATGCATATACATGAAGACTAAGAGAGATGTAAAACAAAGTTCATAACAGCATTATTTGTAATACTCAAAAAGTGGAGACAACTCCCATGCCTATCCATACTAAAATGAATGTATAGATTGTAGTCCACTTATGCAATGAAACACTGCAGCAATGAATATGAATGTACTGTAACTACTCTCAAAAACATGGGTGAATCTTACCATCATGATGATGAGCAAAAGGAATGAGGTATACTGTGCAATTATATTAACAGTTAATATGCAGCTCAAAAATATGCAAAAAAAATCTGTGGCGTTTGACCCAAAATAGTGGTTGTGTTTGGGGGGTGGAGGGAGCAGCTGCAAGAAGGACCACAAAGAAGTCTTCCAAGATGCTGGTGATGGTGCTTTTTGTGAGTGTTTGTCTGAACTGTCCACTGCTTATGTGTGTTATGCTTTTAAAAATTAGAATATGCACATAGTTTGCAGTTGAGCTCTGTGTATTAACTTCTGTCTACGTCTTCTGAGGTTTTCTCTTTTCATTTTACTGTTTAAGTCATATTAACATGTGAAAAAGTAAAAACCTGAGTTAAATTTTGAAAAAAGAAAAAACAAGAAACTATATTCTTCTTTAAAGAATTGATTTCTTGGCTGGCCTGAGGGTAGTGGATTATCAGAACTTATTAACATCAGTGTTACTGAAGTTGGTGTACAACCCCCCACCCCCCACCCCACTGGTAAATTTGACTGGCTTTTTATAAAAAAATTTAAAAAAAGATTTCTTGATCTTATTCAAGATAAACATTGTCTTGCATGTACTGTCCTTTTTTAAAACTTAAATTAATTGCACGATTCTGCTTTAAATATGATAGACAAACAATTTGCGGCTTACAATAGAGCCCAGTTTTATATAGACTTATTTATTTATGTAAATGTTCTTAAGCTTCAAGTTTCCATGATATAATCTTTTGAATTAACTTCTCACTTCCCTAGTATGTGTTACCTGGCTATATGTAGGAATATAAGATTGTTTCAAAGGGCATACTAGTTAAGGACAAGGGTATTAGTCTGTTTTCACACTGCTATAAAGAACTACCTGAGACTGGGTCATTTATAAAGAAAGAGCTTTAATTGACTGACAGTTTCATATGGCTGACAAGGCCTCAGGAAACTTACAATCATGGCAGAAGGGGAAGGGGAATGCAAGGCAGCAGGATATATATATATATATATATATATATATATATATATATATATATATATATATATATATATATGTAGAGAGAGAGAGAGAGAGAGAGAGAGAGGGAGAGGAAGTGCTACATTTTTAAACCATCAGATCTCATGAGAACTCACTATCATGAGAACATCATGGGGGGACTGCCCCCATGATCCAATCACCCCCCAGCAGGTCCCTTTCTTGATATGTGGGGATTATAATTCAAGATGAGATTTGGGTGGGGACACAGAGCCAAACCATATCAACAAGTCTTGAGTTATATTGCACAATATTGATTTTGTGGTCTTGGGAAGAGTTCTTTAACTTTTGATTAGTTTCAGTATTCAAAATGGAAATATTTGGTAGATATGCAACCTTACGATTAAAAATGTAAATACATTTAGACATATGTTTATAATAAATTTGGGGTAACAGGCTAGGTATATTAGACATGTAGGAAGAAACATTTCTTGTATTAACAAAAATCAGAATTATGAGCTGAAATTATAGAGAAGTGAAAAGCAACTTCTAAAATGTTTCAATAGTATTTGTACTAGAAAATCAGTTTTCAAGCTGCTCTAGTAATGTCTAGTTATTGGTAACTCCATTGTTTTGCAAACAACTCAAACTTCTTTGATTTTTCTGGGTGGTATACTTATGCGTTAATAACGAAGTTTTGGAAATTTATGTTTTAGGCTATTTATAGTGTTATTTTAAGATGAAATGAGTTATTTACAGATAGAACTTGCTTTAAAGTCATTTGATATACAGAGTATAAGTATACAACTAAATCGAAGATTACTGTTTTTTAAATGTCTCTTTGCAAACAGTAGTTTCCTAGTATCTGACAAATGATCTAAGCATGACCTTTTCAAGTCTATATTTATGCATAAAATAAGGCATATTTGTATTGTTGTCCTCATATAAAAATCTTTTTTAACTAAAATAAGCAATGTGTCAGTCAGTTTGGCTAGGGAACTGTTTTTTCATTTAACCTTCAAATCAGCCTTCCTTGCCTCCCTACCTCTTACTTCCTACATTTTGACATTCATTCAGCAAATATTTTAGAGGGACTTCTTCCTTATCTTTCTCTTTTATGAAACATTTTACAGGTTTCTGTAGTACACACTGATGGTTCTTGTCTTAATCATATTACATTTATGTTTTGAAATATCATTTTATTATGTTTTACTCTTTAGCTGTTTTACGAATTCTCTTCTTCTAATGAGATCATAAATTCCTGAAAGCAGGAACTGCCTTTTCTTATTCTCCCACATATCAAAGAACAGAATGTACTCAAGACACCCTCATGAAAGAGAGTTTTATGGTTGAAGACTTAAGCTTGTGTGAATGAAGTCTAACACTTTTGAGAGATCATTGTTTATCAAATGTCTCCTGCATTGTATATTATGCTTGCTCTATGCTATTAAAGTAATGAGATTTCTGACTCAGTACTCATAATGTGGAACCTTGCAGTAAGAAATGATGAACAGCTTCAAATCACCTTTAATGTTAGCTTCACATTGAAACCACTGCAAATCATCTATGCTACCTTATACAAATTGAGTGTATTTGAAAGGCTAAATTGAGCAGTGGAAACTAACAGCACTGGTGTACTCTTCTTTTGGCTGGGAGTTGGAGAGGCGTCTTTTCATCTACAGGTGATTTGCATTTTCAGAGACTGGCTAATGCTCATAAAACATTAGAAATCTATACATACAGCTATGGTAAATATTCTTAGGCCTCAAATTTGTACCCTATGACCTTTAGAATTTACTTCCCACTTTGCAGTCATATGCTACCTGGCTACATGTAGGAATTTCAGATTGTTCCAAAGAGCATACCAATTAAGAACAAGTTTCTGCTGTCACACTGCCAAATATTGACTAAGTGGCTTTGGGAGAGTTCCTTAATTTCTCTGAGCCTCATTTTGCATTGCTGAGTAGAGGGAATGATAGTGCCACTTTTATGAGAGAGTTGGAGGATTAGAGGAGATAATCCTAAACAATTTTTCCCCCTCTACAGGTGATGTATTCTCCTCATATCACACAGAAAATAAAATAGGTGAGAACTTTCTAACTTAAAAATTATACCCTCAAATTTAAATTGATTTCATACATCTTCACCTATCCTTTCTTCCTGCCATTCATCTCTAAACAAGAGGGACCTCTTTTCCTTTGCAAAGTCAGTGCTAGACTTGTGCTCTTGATCTCTCTTTCTTCTTTACCTTTATAACCTTCTTGTGTTGTTTATCCCTTGTGTCATTGCATTTTCAGTTTCTTTCATTCTTTTGGCTCTGGCACTTTCTTTCCAGCCTATAAAATTGTTTGTAGGCTAAAAATTTGACCTGGCAGCCATTGGAGCTGCTGTGTCATTGTCTTCTTCCCTTTTTACCAAACTTAAAATAATTTCTGCATACTGTATGGATTTTACCAACTTTCCCTTTAGTTAATATAGTCACTGAATAATCCAAACTTATTACAAAAAATTAGGGGTGGAAAATTTTCTCCCATTATCTCTTCAACTCACCAATCTGACTTCTACATCCACTTTATTGAAATGACTTTGCCAAAGATCACCAATAAAGCTTTAGTTTCCAACTGCCTAATTTTTGTGCAGTATTTGATGTCTTTGACCGTCTCTTCCTACCCTTGATAGCTCCTCACTGACTTTCTCTTTCAAACTGTTTTTTTATGATAACACTTTTCTAATCCTCCTGCCTTTTAAAAAACTACCTTTGACTCTCATTCCTCTTCTTTAATTTTAAGTATTGTATATTTCTTGGGTTTCCTCCTTTGCCTTTCCCCACTTCCTTTTCTTCCGTACTTTTTTTCTGACTTTCTCTCTCTCTCTCCCCACCACCTGTTTCTAGATCATCTATCTGCAACTACAAACTCAGGAGGAAACAGGCTACTGTGTTCAGTAAGCATCTCAAAGTGAGCCTGTCCAAGACAGCTTCTCTGTTTCCTCTCTAGACCTGACCATCACCCTCTCTCTCTGGACCATTGCAATGATCTCTAAATGACTCTCACTACTTCAGGTGGTGAGAAGGGATAGGAAGGAGAGATCTATAAACACAGAACTAAGAATTCCTTTATCATTCCCCCAATGAGCAAAAAGTTACTGGTTAGTACTGATTGACAAAGGGTACAATTTTCAGTCCTTCACTCAAAAAGTCAACTTCATCATCTTAGATTTACTCAAGTTTGTGAGTTGCCTTATGAGGATCTGAGTGTCTGGGTGGCCATGTGGCTAGAAATATTCTATTAGATCCTTATTTAATTTGAATATGTGTATAAATAATGCGTGATTAGACTCAAAGATGTAGGGATTCAAACTATATCTTCTATGAATTTCTATATCTCTTCCTTGCTAAATTTTTAACTATGGGTATCTTCTATGGAGAAATTATATTAAATACTCTTCAGTCCTATAGTGTGTAACCTTGGAGTTTGATAATTCAGGTGTACTACATTAAAATTTAAAACTTTCTTTAAAAAGTATTATGTAAATGCTTTTGAATTTCTAGAATTTATATATCTTATTAATTTCAATATTTTGTTTTATAAATATATATATGACCTTTCATATCTCAAACTGCTATTTATTTGCGTTATAGGCATACTTAGAAAATAAGAAAAAGTTCTTTATTTTTATTTTTATTGAGAGGAAAAATTCTTTATTTGATAACATGGATTATCAAATTACCCTATCAAATAAATATAAAATACCAAGTAATATTTCTAATATATTTAAAAGGAATATTTGATTAAGCTTGCCATTTTTGATTATTACGGCTTATTTCATAAATATTTAATGACTCATAAGATCTTCAAATTATTCCCCTCAATAACATTCGATTTTCTTCACCTATTTGTTAATAATTTAGCAATCCAACTGGAAAACATGAACATATATGGCATAATATGTTTTCCTATATTTTCTCTTAATAAACTAATGCCATGCCTGTATATGTTTGTTTATGTTCCAGCTATAAGAATTTAATGTGTTTCTTTGAGATCCCTTTACCCAGAAATAAATTATCTTACCCTTGGTAATATATTAGTAAATTTAATAGTCCTCTGAAGTAAAATAAAAATTAAGCAAATTTACTACAAAAATAATCTTGTTTGCTCAAGAACATTGAATGTATGAATTTCCACACATTGAGTCACCACTGCTTTTCCCAGGGGCTTAATTTTACATGTTTCATTTTGTCCTCTTAGAACTTACTACTTCTTTCCCTTTTTACTCATTCCCTCTTTTTCTTCTCCCTCCAAGTCCTTGTATTAATCACTGGTATGCCATCCTTTATTGTCTTATAAACTATTTAAATAAATGGACAAATTAATTTATATGATTGAACCTCTCCTTAAAGTGAGACATAGAACTAAGGGCTATAATTGTGAACTCTGTAGCCAGACTGCTTGGGATCAAATTGTCTCTGTTCCTTCCTAGTTACGTGACTGTGCCTTTGTTTTCTCATCTGTAGTATGGGAATAATAATATTACCTCACAAGGTTGTAAGGAGCATTGTATTGTTGATGTTTGTAAAGCTCCTAAGACAGTGACAGGCATTTGTAAAGCTCCTAAGACAGTGATAGGCACCTCATAAGTGTTTGTTAAAGACACATGTTCTTTCGGTCAACCTTCTATTCTTCTATTGCATCTAAGTAGAAAAATAGCTCCTTCCTCCTTGAGAACAAATCTTCCACCAGAAATTGGGTTATAAGTGCTACTCACCTCCTCAGGGACCTTCTTGCTTTCATAAATTATCTCTTCCAATTCTGCTGAGAGGTCTGCTGCTGGCCTGATGGGGTTCCATCTATATCTGACTTGACCTTTCTTTCCAGCTACCGTTAGGACTTTTTCTTTTGTGTTGACCTTCGTGAATCTGATGACTATGTGCCTTGGGAGTGGTCATCTTGTGTAGTTTCTAGCCGGGGTTCTTGGTATTTTTTGAGTTTTCATGTCAACCTCTCTCATGCAATTAGGGGAATTTTCACAAACTGTATCCTCAAAGATATTTTCCAAGTTGCTTATTCTGTCTCCTTTCTCAGAAATACAAATATGTCATAGATTTGGTCTCTTTTTATAATCCCATGTGTCTTGGAAGTTTTGTTCATTTTTTAAAATTCCTTTTTTCTGTATTTTTGTCTGAGTGTTGATTCAAATAACTCATTTTTCAAGCTCTGAGATTCCTTCCTCAGCTTAGTCTATTTGCTGTTAATACTTTTGATTGTATTATGAAATGCTTGTAATTAATTTTTTAGCTCTAGAAGTTCAGTTTTGTTCCTTCTTAAAATGCCTATTTCGTCTTACAGCTCTTGGATTGTTTTACTGGATTCTGTGGATTCCTTTGATTGGGTTTCAACTTTCTCCTGAATCTTTATGAGCTTCCTTGCCATTCAGATTCTGAATTGTATATCTGTCATTTCAGTCATTTCAGACTGGTTAAGAACCATTGCTGGAGAGCTAGTGGACTTCTTTGGAGGTAAAGGGATACTTGCTTTTTAAATTGCCAGAGTTCTTGCACTAATTGATTCTCATCTGGGAGGGTTGGTGTTTCTTTAATTTGGGTGTAAGTTGATCATAGTCCATTGGCTTCATTTCTAGATGTTTTTAGATGGCCAAGACTCTGTATAGGGTCTTTATGGCTGAACGCTTGTCCTTGGCTTCACAGGGTGAGTATATTAGCAAAATATTTTTGGTATTATAGTTTGGGCTGTGATCCAGTAGATGGCACTTTAAGATTCATGGGTGGTGAATAGGCTCTAATTCAGCTGTGTGGCTTCTCTGTAATTCCTTGTGTGTACAGTCATGCTCTGTTGTGAGGGAGGAAGAGAGGTAACCTCCTCACCAGGTCTGCTCCCGAGCCTTGTCAGAGCCCCCTGCAACCACTGGCACTGTGCCTGCATTTCTTTTGTGAGGTGTTCTGGGCTGGGGTGCTCTTTGAGCAGAGGCCACAGCAGGGAGATAGGCCACACCCTTTGTGGGCCAGCCCTGTGGAGTGAGGCATGCCCCACTCACACTACAGCCCACAAACTTGCGCATCTCACCCCCTTCATGCTCTGAGACTGTGGGCTCCTCTCCTGCTCTGGTGCTGGCCACAGATCTCAGCTAGGCACTCCTTAGCTGTGTGCTCCAGCCCTGGGTGCTAGGATTTTCTTGCTGCTCTATCCTCTGGACCCTTGGATTCGGGTTCCAGGTGTGCTGGGGGATCCAAAGCCTTCCTAGGTTGCTGGAAACATAATCAGGTGCAGGAAAGCATCCAGGCTGGGCAGTGGAGGCTGCACCATGCACACAACCCTGTGGGGCAGCCAGGCAGGTGCCGTGGGAGGGGCTGGCAGGCAAGGGGCCTGAAGAATAGCTGTTCCCCAGTCCCATGGGGAAGTAAGTCCTGGCATGGCGGTCAGCTGAGGCAAGACATTCTCAGAGGGAGATGGGGACCCTGGGCCAGGGGTGCCCCTGTCTATGCTCTCCTGGAGCTGTGCTGTTCACAAAGGTTCCTAGTTCCATACCGGCTGAAGACCCATCTGTGCCTATTCTCTGGGCAGATACCCACATCAGCCTAGATGTCCATGGGGGATGCGAGGCTTTCTGTAGCCAGGATCCCAGAGGTTCATCGCAAGGGTGAGCAGCCCCACATTTCCTTAACTCACCCATTTCCCAGGAGCTGTTCAGGTCCTGGAACTACCCTCAGTAATCAGGCACCTCACACAGGGTTCCTAGCCTCCTCCCTTCTCAGCCTCAGTGTCTGCGTGATACCTTCATCCATTCTTGACATTTTCTCTTAGAGATCTGTCCCAATTATGTTAATTTACTCAAAGCCGTGGTCGCACTCAGTGGGAGTGGCCCTTCCTGGGTATGTCTAGTCAGCCATCTTGTCCTCCAGTCATGTATTTAGAAAATATTTTTTACATTTTATTGTGATAAGATGGAATGTTTGTAGTATGATGTCTCTGGGCCTTTCTATATGAATTTTCCTTTTAGTAGAATTGTTTTTTCCCACTGTGTGTGCCTGGCTTAATTTAACTCATTTCTTCAAATTTGTTCTGACTCTTGTGTCTTTCACCCTCTCTCTACAGGGTCTCTAGGGCATGGCTGCCTCATAACCTTTACCACACTGACTTACAGATGTTGCTTTACTTGGCTAGACCCAGCAGAAATGAGTGTTGAGAGAAATGATGTGTTCATCTATTCCATGATCTCAACAAAATGATTGGCCCAAGTAACATGATTTTTTTCAATCAGTGAAAAAAACGAATGTTTTCATTTCATAAATATATTATTTCTAGTCTATTATCCTATGAATATCCCTCAATAAAATAATGTGTGGCCTGATAAATAGCAAAGAGATTTTCTTTCTGGCCATGATTAACCAAGAAATGTGCTCTCACAAAGAACTAAAAAAAAAAAAAAAGAATGTTATTTGACAGGTTAAATAAAAAGCATAACAGCTTTATTTTTGAACAAGTTCTTATTTGGGAAAGAGTTTCACATTTCATTTATTATGTAATTACCTATCCCATCTTTTGGAATGACCAATAATTTATTATATCCCATGCTATAATCTTTCTTCATGGGTTTTTCTTAGACATTAATTTTCTCTTGAAGTTAATGCAGATTATGATTTTTAGGCCAGAGGCAAAGGATTAGAAAATAATGTTATGTCATTTTATTATAAGAAAAAGTACAGTTTTTTTAAAGGAGTATGATTAGTTTCTATGACCTCAATGTCTGGACATGTGTCAATAGTGTGTGGTGAAAAAAGAGGCCTTCGAAGGCCTTTGGTAGCTTAGTGTGTGCATTTTTCAGATATGACTGTATGGTCTCATTATTTCTATACAAGGAATTTATTGTTCCATTGATCTTGTGTATTTCTGTTTGCCTTTGATAGAAAACAGAAATGACAGAATTGTCAATGTAAATGGAAACCTACTTAAATAGTATGTCTCTCCTTGAGCTTTGCAGGTTGGCTTTTAAGCATTGATCTGTTATTTGGTTGATAAGCTTGACTGTCAAGTTTACTTAGTAATTTAGTTTTAGATCCCTTTATGTTTTATGTTCCCCAAGTAGTCCAGATACAGAAGCAAACACTATTGTTGTTTCTTTTTCTTTTTGTTTTTTTTTCCTAATTGCTAAGTGGGATTCTTATTTATTGATAGCCTTTAATTTTGTTGTGTTTGTTTTGAGACAGGGTCTCACCCTGTCACCTAGGCTGGGCTACAGTGGTGTGATCACACCTCACTGCAGCCTCAACTTCCTGAGCTTGAGCAATCCTCTCACCTCAGCCTCTCAAGAAGCTGGGACTAGAGGGCATACCACCATCTAGCTAATTTTATTTTTTTGTAGAGATGGGGTCTCACTATGTTACCCAGGCTGGTCTCCAACTCCCTCAAGCAGTCTTTCCATCTTGAGCTCCCAAAGTTCTGGAATTACAGGCATGAGCCACCTTGCCCAGGCTTATTTTTTTATTTACATTTATTTATTTATTTATTTATTTATTTATTTATTTATTTATTTATTTATTTATTTCTAGACGGAGACTCACTCTGTTGCCAGGCTGGAGTACAGTGGCATGATCTTGGCTCACTGCAACCTCCACCTGTTGGGTTCAAGCAATTCTTCCCCCTCCCGAGTAGCTGGGACTACAGATGTATGCCACCACACCCAGCTAAATTTTTGTATTTTTAGTAGAGATGGGGTTTCACCATGTTGGCCAGGATGGCCTCGTTCTCTTGGTGTGATCCACCTGCCTCGGCCTTCCAAAGTGCTGGGACTACAGGCGTGAGGCACCGTGCCCGGCCCCTTAATTTTTTTAACAGACTTTTAAAAGACTTTAAATTTATAGACATATCCCTTTAATACTGTATAAGCTGGCTCATCACAAATTTTTATCTCTAATACTACTTTAATTTTTGTTCAGTTTGAAAATGTGTTCTAATTTTTATTATGCTTTTGTTCTTTAACTTGTGAATTATTCAGACATATGTTTTAAATTTTCTAATATATGAAGTTTTTATGTTGTCTGTTATTGATTTCTCTTTCCTCTTGTGTTTTCCAAGTTGTCTTTTTTTAGTTATTCCCATTTTCTTCTGTATTGTATATAATTTTCTCCTGTACTATCTGAACTTCCCTTTAAGCAGGCGCATTTGTTCTAGTTTGTTTTATATTTCAAAAAGCAAAGAAAACCTTGACTCACATTGCACCTTGTACAACTCATTTTTCAGCTCTTCTTTACAGCAAAAGACTTTGAAGGAGCCCATAGAGTTGGTGTTTCCACTTAGTCTCCTCCCTTTCTCTTCATGACCCATGTTAGCTGGCTTGCTGTCCCCACCATTCTTCTGCAATTGCTTTAGTGACCTCGATGTTACCAAATCCAGTGGTGGTGTTTTGGACTGATTATCTATCTACTATTCTATCAATGAGTGAAATCAGGATATTGAAATCTATGACTTTAATTGTGGATTTTTCCTTTTTCTCTTTGTAGTTCAAGTATTTCTTGCTTCAGGTATTTTGAATTTTGTTATTGAGTTCACAAACATTAGTGATTGCTATACCTTCGTGATAAATTGATCCTTTTATCATTAGGAATGATCTTTGTAGTTGATAATATCCTTTCTTCTGAAATATTTTTGATATTTCATATAGCCATTCTGGTTTAATGTAATTAATAAAGCAATGTATCTTTTTGATATATATTTTTTCATTCTTATAATTTTAATCTATTGTTGTCTTATATTAAAGTATATTTCTTATAGGCAGTGTGTAATTGAGTCTTGTTTTTTATCCAATATGTTTATCTCTGCCTTTAAATTATTATGGCTAGATCACATGCTATGTGATTACATTAGTATGGCTAGATCACATGCTATGTGGTTAAATATATTGTTAGGTTTAAATCTATTATCAGTTTTAATGTCTTTCCTGACAATTATAATACACTGTCAATTCTGCATTGGCTTTGACGTATTGGTTTTTCTTTTGATTATGAGTTGTGTTTTCCTTATTGTTTGCATGCCTCATAGTTTTTGATCGAATATCAGACATTGTGAACTTTACCTTTTAGGGTGCTGGGTTATTTTATATTCCTATAAATATTCTTGAGATTTGTTCTGGGATACAGTTAAGTTTTATATTTTGGGTCTTTCTTTTCAGACTTCTGGGTGGGACAAGAATTATGTTTAGTATAAGGTTAATTTTTCCTTACCACAAGGCAAGACCCTTCTGTGTACTCTCTCCAGTGCCCGGTGAATTATGAGGTTTCCCAGTGTTGCTGGTAGGGACAGTCACTATCTGTCACTGTAAGAGTTGGGTATTCTCTCTAATTCTTTTGGGTGTTATTTTCCGTGCCTTTCCTAGTAGCCTTACATGAATAGACTGATCAATATTCTGGTGAATACTCCAGAACCCTCATTGAATCTCTGAAGTTCTCTCACCTTTTTGATGTTGTCTTGCAAACTCTGCCGCTTTGATTTCTCCAGACTCTCTGCAGTGTCTCCCTAACTCAATAAATCTTCCTGGCTCTGCATGAGCTCCTCTGCCCACTGCAAGGCCTGGAAACTCTCTCAAAGCAGTAAACTTGGGTAATTGTAAGACTCCAATTGTTTTTTCTCCAGCTTCAAGGATCACTGTCTTTTACTGCCTGGCATCCAGCACCTTGAAAATCATTGGTTCCCATATTTTGTTATCTTTTATTGTTGTTCACTTCT
The DNA here is from genome assembly GCF_000001405.40 of Homo sapiens. Classification (NCBI taxonomy): domain Eukaryota; kingdom Metazoa; phylum Chordata; class Mammalia; order Primates; family Hominidae; genus Homo; species Homo sapiens. The sequence continues at coordinate 91,597,219 of NC_000013.11, forward strand.
GGCATGATGCTAGATCTAGTGTCTGTTATTCAATCTTGGTCAGAAGCAGAAGTCAAAATCCTTTTCAGTTTTCGTTAGTATAATTAATTTATCAAAATTAATTCCCTCATTTGTGGCATAGATTAACTACCTTTCCAGCATCTAACTTACTTGTAATTTGCAAATCTTGTTTGGAGCTCACCTTCTGATGAATATTTTTCTTTATATGGCCTTCCAGTTTGTTAATTTTGAGCCTGCCAATACCCTAGCATCACTGGGTGTGCAACCTCAGTTTATGTCAGCACCTCAACTCATGAGTTTTTCCCATAGTTGTTTATTTGGTTATGAGATTTTACTGCCTGCGCCAACACCTCCTTGAAATATAGACCCATTTCAAACCATACTCACTAAGTTTGAACCCACATCTTGGCCACAGGGAACAATTTATTTTTGTTAGGTACATGAGGAGGGGGCACTATTTCTATCCCCCTTCATGGCAGAAACTGCATTCCTAATTCCTGACTTTACAAGGTATACCTGTTTTTGTCCTGGGGTCCAAAATGGGGCATATTCCTTATGGCATTATCCCTGATACCCTTTCAGCTTGTCTGTGGGCTGTTGATTTCAGCTCCTGTTTGCTACTCTGAGTTCTCTGTTCATTTCTGGTTCTTAGAGATTTTATTTACTTGAATTTTTCAAGCATGGAATGTTTTCTATTGAGTTTGTATTTCTTTTTAGCAGAAAAAGCGGATGCTCAATTTATGTTGAATCCACTGTTTCACCCAGAACACTTTGTAAAAAACATCAGAAAATAGAGACCATGAGAGAGGTAACAATAATTTCAGTAACCCTCGAGTCTATCTTCTTTAAAACTCTACAAGTTTACATTTCTGAACTATTTTTCTATAGATTTTGTGCTTATCTTGTCAGAGATTCTATTTAAAGCCTTTAGAAAATTCAAAACTTAAATTATGAATGATGGTAAAGATTTCTGCCAAGGCTGTTGCTCTTCTAGTGCTTTTCAGAATTCTGGTAATAACTGGAAAAAGGTAGAAACTAGCTTGTAAAGTACCAGTGACGATGCACTTTTTATATTGTGTGGCATGAGATTTATCTTCTAGTAAAATTGAAAAAAAACTCTTAAATTATATAAATATTTATAAACAAATATAACATGTTTACAGATATGTTACAGGTAGAGCTCTTTCACTAAAACCCATTCACAGGGAGTGCAGAAAATGAGTATCTGATTAGAATATCTAAAAATGAAAAAAAGATTCTGGTTGTGGTCAATATGACCTAACCTTGATTTTCAACATTCTTTCTTTGCCAATCACTGGCATTCTTGTAGGCCCAAAGTTCTTGTATCCCTTGGTTCATTTCTACCTTTGATATGTTGTATTTAATTGTTTTATACAGGAGCATTGATTTCATATTAAATATATTTTTCTAAATGTCATATACTTTTAGAAAAATAAATATATTTTTCTAAATGTCATATGACCCCAGGGCAAAAACAAGTATATCATGTAAAGTCAGGAATTAGGAATGCAGTTTCTGGCATGAAAAGGGATAGAAATAGTGCCCCCTCCTCATCTACCTAACAAAAATAAGTTGTATACTAGGGTATTGGTAGGCTCAAAATTAACTAACTGGAAAGCTATATAAAGAAAAATATTCATCAGAAGGTGAGCTCAAAACAAGATTTGCAATACTAGTTAACATATACTAATTGAAGTATATGATCTACTAGTATAAAGTATATAGTTTCAGTTATTTTGAAAAAGAAGTTCTACAAGTGCCAAAGGTTATCTTTACTATAATATTTTAATCACCTATTTATTTTTTAATTTCAGCAGCTTTTGGGGTATCAAGTGGTTTTTGATGACATGGATGAATTGTAGAGTGGCCTGAGATTTTAGTGTATTCATCGCTTGACTAGACATCTTTTTAAATGCCTAGTAATTTAAAAATTTCCTATGAAATATTATTCCATACTTATAATTATCCTTGCAGAGATACTAATCTGTGATGGAACTTGTTTTCTCATTTGGCTAAATGTCAGTCTTTCCCTCATCTTGTTGCATCTTATTTGTATACAGTTACTAAAAATATAACTACTCTTAACATTTGTATGTTCAGAATGCTTAAGTTACTAGCTACCAAGTTTCTTTATATTTTTATCTTATCATAAATCAAGCCTGATGACTGATTAGTATAATTGTTATTTTTGAGCATTTGGACACAGAATAGCCATAAGTAAACATCATCATTAAAAAAATTCTGTTTATATAATTCATTCACATAAGAGTCCAGTCCATAGAAACTATCTAACACAAATAATAATGTGCACACTTAAAACTCAATACTATAATTAAAAAAATATACATAAGTAAAAACATTAAATTCAGTCATCATGGGAACAATGCACTTTTGTAAAGTAGTGAAATTAATTTACATAAGTTACAAAAGAAAATCCATCTCATTAATTCATAATTACATAGTCCTCCATTTCAGGGTGGGATTGGCAGAATGATAATTATGTGCTCATTCATGAAAACATGTTATAAATTGGATAAGCTATATTTAAATACACTGAGGCTCTCTAGCACCTAAAAGTCTAATGATGATGTGGTCTGTCAAAACTGAAAATATTTGCGGGCTTATCTAATTAGTAGAAATAGTCCAAAAATCTTTATGAAAAGATAAGCATGTATACATAGTTAAGAGCTCAGCTTTTTTGAAACGGAGCCTTGCTGTGTTACCCAGGCTGGAGTGCAGTGGTGCGATCTTGGCTCACTGCCACCTCTGCCTCCTGGGTTCAAGCAATTCTCTGCCTCAGCCTCCCAAGTAGCTGGGATTATAGGCACATGCCACCACACCCAGCTAATTTTTTTGTATTTTTAGAGGAGACGGGGTTTCACCATCTTGGCCAGGCTGGTCTTGAACTCCTGATCTCACAATACACCCGCCTTGGCCTCCCAAAGTGCTGTGATTACAGGCATGAGCCACAGCACCCAGCCTACTTTTTTATAATTAAATACAGCTACTTGATCTAGCAAAAATCTATAGATACATTAGATTTATCATGGTAATCGTTCATTTTACAGAGAGAGAGAGAGAGAGAGAGAGAGAGAGAGAGAGAGAGAGAGTGTGTGTGTGTGTGTGTGTATAGACATGTATATAAAGACATGGCTGGGCACAGTATATAAAGACTTGGCCTGCAGTGAGCCGAGATTGTGCCACTGCACTCCAGCCTGGGCAACAGAGTGAGATTCTATCTAAAAAAAAAATGTACATCATAAATATAAACAATTTTTATTTTTCAATTATTCTTCAATAAATCTGGAAAAAATAAAAATTAAAATAATGTTTATGAGAATCAAAAAGACCCCATTATTTATGTTATTTTTATTACTATTATTTTTTGAGATGGGGTCTCGCTCTGTCGCCCAGGCTGGAGTGCAGTGATGTGATCTCAGCTCACTGTTATGTTAGGTTTTATCAATAATTCTTATAGCAAACCCATTAAAATAATGCATATAATGCATCAGATTGCACTTGGGCATAATTATAGACTTCTAAAGTTTTGTGTCTGTTATCTATTTCAGTATTACAGAATCGATTTAATGTCTGATTTTAATCTAATCATAGGAAGATGTATATACCTTTGGCAAACCCTCCTCTTTCCCTCTATAATTAATTTCAGTCAACTAATTGGGAAATATATACTCAATACATAAAAGAAGGGGTGACATTTATCTTTATCTTAACCTATAATAATTACAGCATTTTGTTAATATATTTATTGAATTTAGCTGTGTCTGGAACTATGTTCAAGACATTCTATTGGGTCTTATAAGAAAAGTCTGTTCTTAATGATGTTTTCATTGTGAGGGCATCTTCAAGATTTATTTTAAAGTTCTTTGAATGAAAAATGAAAGTCCAGTAGATAGTTTGACAGTTATTTTTTAAAAACAACCAATCAACAATTATTCATAGAAATATGTACCTAACTCTGTGTTTGGTACAATAGGGCACCAAAAATATATGACACTCTGATCCACTGATTGCATGAAGAAAATATTACCTAATGAAATTTATCCCATCTTGGACTTAGGTTTTTCTCACAAAGCATAGAAGTGGATGCTTAAAATATCTGATATTGTTAGACATAAGATTAGAGATAAAATAAGGGAGAAGGGCAGAAGCTAAGAGGTCGTGAATGAGATAGGGCAGGGATCCCCAACCCCTGGGCCGTGGACCCCTACCAGTCCGTGGCCTGTTAGGAACCGGGCCACATAGTAAGAGATGAGCGGCAGGTGAGCAAGTGAAGCTTCATCTGTGTTTACAGCTGCTCCCCATCACCTGAGCTCCACCTCCTGTCAGATTAGTGGTGGTATTTGATTCTCATAGGAGTGCGAATCCTATTGTAAACTCTGCATACGAGGGATCTCGGTTGCCCTCTGTTACGAGAATCTAAAGCCCAATGATCTGTCACTGTCTCCCATCACCCCCAGATGGGACTGTCTAGTTGCAGGAAAACAAGCTCAGGGCTCCCACTGATTCTACATTATGGTGAGTTGTATAATTATTTCATTATATATTACAGTGCAATAATAATAGAAATAAAGTATACAATAAATGTAATGCACTTAAATCATCCTGAAACCATCCCCCATGCTGGTCTGTGGAAAAATTGTCTTCCACAAAACCAGTCACTGTTGCCAAAAAGGTTGAGGAGTGCTGGGATAGGGTGGCTGGGAAATGTATTCAGTCTTCAAGCTCTCTTCACTGTCCAGTCAACAAGACAAATATTAGAAGTTAAGAAGGAGGAGCATGGTACAGTCTTGCATCTGGTGTCTTTTCTACCTTTTCCTTCAAGGTTTATCTGTGGGAGAATGTGATATATGCATTTACAGTAGTCCTGGATAGTGAAGAATTTTCTTTATTCATTCTTGAAATCTTTGTGTGTCCAGCACCGTTCCGGGCTTTGCGAGCACCTGACACAGATACAGTGGAATCCATTTGTAAGAGTGTATACTTAGCTAATTTGTTATAGCAGTCCTTTTAGATAAAAGTGAATCATTACTTATGCTGAAACCAAATGTAGGAATCTTCTGAGTGAGTTGACTTGCATGTATTCATCTTTGCAAGATAATAAGCAATTAACCCAGTGATTAGAGCACAGGAGATAATTTGTAATCATGGATGTAATAATGGAATTTAATTAACTTCAAATAAATATTTTAGTGAGGGTTCATTTGTACACCCAGATATTTATTTATATTGTAATAGCTTTTATATTTTTGTCTTTAACCACTGCACCAAAAAATATGCAGCAAAGTTATTATCAATTTAAAAAGCCATGATCTAAAATGTCATAGCTTTTTAGTGTTTATAGCATTTGTATTATGATCAGTATGCAGATCACAAAAAGATTGACAGTCTTAACGTGATTGATGATATTGTTTTTCGGTTCCTGAACATATTGCTCTGATTCCTTCTGACAGTTTTGTTTGAGAGTGACTATCGGGTATGTAATTGGTGTTTCTTAATTGATCTAGGGTCATCATTTATAAAGCGTAGTTCAAGAAATCACCCTTTGTGATTATTAAAAGAAATAATCTTTTTTCTTCATTTGTAATTTGAGTTAGAATTGTCAAAAGGATATTGATGAATAGGTCATATCTCTAGCAAGGAACTAAGATACGCCTAGAATATGGAGTTATGTGCCTTTTCTCAACTTCCTCAATCCATATTTGTTTGAATCCACCAATGTACATGAGGAATGAGGACTTTCTCTGTGAAAAGTGGCTGCTACATGTGAGTTTAGAAACATTTTGGCATGACTGGGGTAGTGGACATGTAATATTGTGAGAAAAGGATTCTGAGACTTTATTACAATGTGAATATATGTCAGAGGACTATGACTGGCCATGTATTACTGGAGCCAGAGGGCATTTCTAGTTCAGGGCAGAGTAAGATCCCTCTTGTTTGAACCGTTTCTCATCCAGACCACCTGGCAGGAAGAAAGGCTGAATGTGAAATTTTAAAGAGCTCTCTCCGTAAATGATGTAGTGTCCTTGTGCTGCCAGCAGCTTGGCATGGGCCTTATGTAAGAGAGAGGAGTTGCTTCAGTCATAAGCAACAATGCTGACCAGCTCACTGAGCATTGAGTAATGGCTTAGAAGTGCACATCTTTGTCTCATGGTATTAGTGAATGACAAACACCAAGGTGCAGTCCACGGTTAGTGGCAGAAGTGGTCAGTGGCCCATCCTGATCTCACAAAATTCTCAATGGGCTTTGCAGTGATGCTATGTCCACAGGGATATCTTTGAAGATTGCTAAGGCCCAAATGATGCAGGTGTTATTGCTGAATTTACTGAAATTTGTATGTATAGGTTAATAGGATCTAAATCGTAAACACAGGCTGATTACACATATAATTTTGATATGAAGTTTTGAAGGGATTTGTTCTCTTTTTAGAGAGTCATTTACTCTTTTTTTTCAGTTGTATAATCAGTTTTTCAAAAAGTATTTAATGAGGTGAGAACATACAATATGGACTTATCTCTCTTTCTATCTGGATATAGATATAAATACATAGATAAAGATCTATCTATCTGTAAATATCTTCATCTATATTGGTTTAAGTTTCTTTCTTCCTCTTTTTTCCTTCTCTCTAATCCATTCATCAATTACCCTCTCCCTTTCTAGTAGTATTTTTTTTTCCTGCTGTTCTTACTAGTTTTTTTTTTTATTATTATACTTTTAAGTTTTAGGGTACATGTGCACATTGTGCAGGTTAGTTACATATGTATACATGTGCCATGCTGGTGCGCTGCACCCACTAACTCGTCATCTAGCATTAGGTATATCTCCCGATGCTATCCCTCCCCCCTCCCACCACACCACAACAGTCCCCAGAGTGTGATATTCCCCTTCCTGTGTCCATGTGATCTCATTGTTCAGTTCCCACCTATGAGTGAGAATATGCGGTGTTTGGTTTTTTGTTCTTGCGATAGTTTACTGAGAATGATGATTTCCAATTTCATCCATGTCCCTACAAAGGACATGAACTCATCATTTTTTATGGCTGCATAGTATTCCATGGTGTATATGTGCCACATTTTCTTAATCCAGTCTATCATTGTTGGACATTTGGGTTGGTTCCAAGTCTTTGCTATTGTGAATAATGCCGTAATAAACATATGGGTGCATGTGTCTTTATAGCAGCATGATTTATAGTCCTTTGGGTATATACCCAGTAATGGGATGGCTGGGTCAAATGGTTTTTCCAGTTCTAGATCCCTGAGGAATCGCCACACTGACTTCCACAATGGTTGAACTAGTTTACAGTCCCACCAACAGTGTAAAAGTGTTCCTATTTCTCCACATCCTCTCCAGCACCTGTTGTTTCCTGACTTTTTAATGATCGCCATTCGAACTGGTGTGAGATGGTATCTCATTGTGGTTTTGATTTGCATTTCTCTGATGGCCAGTGATGATGAGCATTTTTTCATGTGTTTTTTGGCTGCATAAATGTCTTCTTTTGAGAAGTGTCTGTTCATGTCCTTCGCCCACTTTTTGATGGGGTTGCTTGTTTTTTTCTTGTAAATTTGTTTGAGTTCATTGTAGATTCTGGATATTAGCCCTTTGTCAGATGAGTAGGTTGCAAAAATTTTCTCCCATTTTGTAGGTTGCCTGTTCACTCTGATGGTAGTTTCTTTTGCTGTGCAGAAGCCCTTTAGTTTAATTAGATCCCATTTGTCAATTTTGTCTTTTGTTGCCATTGCTTTTGGTGTTTTAGACATGAAGTCCTTGCCCATGCCTATGTCCTGAATGGTAATGCCTAGGTTTTCTTCTAGGGTTTTTATGGTTTTAGGTCTAACGTTTAAGTCTTTAATCCATCTTGAATTGATTTTTGTGTAAGGTGTAAGGAAGGGATCCAGTTTCAGCTTTCTACATATGGCTAGCCAGTTTTCCCAGCACCATTTATTAAATAGGGAATCCTTTCCCCATTGCTTGTTTTTCTCAGGTTTGTCAAAGATCAGATAGTTGTAGAGATGCGGCGTTATTTCTGAGGGCTCTGTTCTGTTCCATTGATCTATGTCTCTGTTTTGGTACCAGTACCATGCTGTTTTGGTTACTGTAGCCTTGTAGTATAGTTTGAAGTCAGGTAGTGTGATGCCTCCAGCTTTGTTCTTTTGGCTTAGGATTGACTTGGCGATGCGGGCTCTTTTTTGGTTCCATATGAACTTTAAAGTAGTTTTTTCCAATTCTGTGAAGAAAGTCATTGGTAGCTTGATGGGGATGGCATTGAATCTGTAAATTACCTTGGGCAGTATGGCCATTTTCACGATATTGATTCTTCCTACCCATGAGCATGGAATGTTCTTCCATTTGTTTGTATCCTCTTTTATTTCCTTGAGCAGTGGTTTGTAGTTCTCCTTGAAGAGGTCCTTCACATCCCTTGTAAGTTGGATTCCTAGGTATTTTATTCTCTTGGAAGCAATTGTGAATGGGAGTTCACTCATGATTTGGCTCTCTGTTTGTCTGTTGTTGGTGTATAAGAATGCTTGTGATTTTTGTACATTGATTTTGTATCCTGAGACTTTGCTAAAGTTGCTTATCAGCTTAAGGAGATTTTGGGCTGAGACAATGGGGTTTTCTAGATATACAATCATGTCATCTGCAAACAGGGACAATTTGACTTCCTCTTTTCCTAATTGAATACCCTTTATTTCCTTCTCCTGCCTAATTGCCCTGGCCAGAACTTCCAACACTATGTTGAATAGGAGTGGTGAGAGAGGGCATCCCTGTCTTGTGCCAGTTTTCAAAGGGAATGCTTCCAGTTTTTGCCCATTCAGTATGATATTGGCTGTGGGTTTGTCATAAATAGCTCTTATTATTTTGAAATACGTCCCATCAATACCTAATTTATTGAGAGTTTTTAGCATGAAGGGTTGTTGAATTTTGTCAAAGGCTTTTTCTGCATCTATTGAGATAATCATGTGGTTTTTGTCTTTGGTTCTGTTCATATGCTGGATTACATTTATTGATTTGCGTATATTGAACCAGCCTTGCATCCCAGGGATGAAGTCCACTTGATCATGGTGGATAAGCTTTTTGATGTGCTGCTGGATTCTGTTTGCCAGTATTTTATTGAGGATTTTTGCATCAATGTTCATCAAGGATATTGGTCTAAAATTCTCTTTTATTGTTGTGTCTCTGCCTGGCTTTGGTATCAGAATGATGCTGGCCTCATAAAATGAGTTAGGGAGGATTCCCTCTTTTTCTATTGATTGGAATAGTTTCAGAAGGAATGGTACCAGTTCCTCCTTGTACCTCTGGTAGAATTCGGCTGTGAATCCATCTGGTCCTGGACTCTTTTTGATTGGTAAGCTATTGATTATTGCCACAATTTCAGCTCCTGTTATTGGTCTATTCAGAGATTCAACTTCTTCCTGGTTTAGTCTTGGGAGAGTGTATGTGTCCAGGAATTTATCCATTTCTTCTAGATTTTCTAGTTTATTTGCGTAGAGGTGTTTGTAGTATTCCCTGATGGCAGTTTGTATTTCTGTGGGATCGGTGGTGATATCCCCTTTATCATTTTTTATTGCAACTATTTGATTCTTCTCTCTTTTTTTCTTTATTAGTCTTGCTAGCGGTCTATCAATTTTGTTGATCCTTTCAAAAAACCAGCTCCTGGATTCATTAATTTTTTGAAGGGTTTTTTGTGTCTCTATTTCCTTCAGTTCTGCTCTGATTTTAGTTATTTCTTGCCTTCTGCTAGCTTTTGAATGTGTTTGCTCTTGCTTTTCTAGTTCTTTTAATTGTGATGTTAGGGTGTCAATTTTGGATCTTTCCTGCTTTCTCTTGTGGAGAGTCATTTACTCTTTATTTTTATTTAGTTAAACCTTCTGAGGAAATATTTGAAATGTCAAACAGATAGTAAATATGGAGTTCTATTTTATCATATCAATAATGATGCCAAGTGTGAAGAACTGAAAATCACCGGTGCACCTTGAAATTTTGACAAATGTTGGCTCTGAGAACCATATCGATCTGTGGTTGGATGTGGAGTTTGCTGAAGCAGGCATTTCGTAAGTCTTTACGTTCTTAGAAGATTTGGGAATTTGATAAAATTATTTTTTTCCTCAAGCAAACTGAAGGATTTACCCTTGCTACATATGCTTTTACACTTGGAGACGTGCTTGCCTAATGTGCTTTTCCTATCAAAAGGGAACATGATGGTGATGTAACTAGACAGCCTCCCTTTCCACATTCAGCAGGATTCATGCCCTGTACGTAGATGATAACACCAGTTCACAGAACAATCTTTTGGATTGAGGAATAAATGGAAAAAAAGCACATTTTATTTATGTTTTATATGTAAATATAAGCAAAGGTTTTAGTAGAAAGCAGCATAATTACATAAACAAAAGTTTCATTTCTTGTCTTATTCCAAGACGTTGTTCTTAGCCAATATAAGTGTGGCTTCGTATTCATGGCCACCCTTCTAGACAGTGGGAAGTTTTCCCTGAAAGACAATCACATGGAGGAAATCCACAGTTCATGTTCCCTAACATTTGTATACTAAAAGCATGTAATAAATTAAGGCGTGGACCTTTAATTCCTTCCCAGGTGGAAGAAGTAGTGAGGTGCAAGAAAGCAGAGTTGAAAATAAGATTTAATATTGCTTTAGAATTTTTTCCCCGATTTTCTGAGTAATGGTGATTTTCTGAGATTCTTTCGAAGAAGGCTGCTTTTAGTTCAACAAGCATTATCCTCAAATAATATATTTATTGTAGAAATGCTATATGGAACATTTTCATATTATTAAACAAATCAAATTTTTAAATATGATTTCTTAAATGATTTTTCCCCAAGAAATAATAAACCATTATAAAACAATGTTTCTCAAGTGACTTGTGTAGGGTAGATGGGAATATGGTGGTAAGGTGTGACAATTTCCAGGGAACGCATTGATTATTCAGCAATTATTTATGGAGCATCGATAATAACCACTTGGTACTGTGGATTGTTATAACAATATAGTAATAGATGATAATAAAATATAATTCATACCATTATATGGATTATTATATGGACTTGTTCTTACAAGTGCTAGGGCTGGAGTACAATAGTGAACAAGAACAAAATTTGTTTCTGTCATTAGAGAACAGGAAAGAGGAGAGTAGACTTCATTTCCAAAATGCTTGTACCGTGTCCCTATTTCACATGACTTTAGGCTATTATGTGATGCTCAGCTTCTTGCATATATTACATACATATTGTTGCAGGTAGAACCATAGTGTCCACTCACACACTTATTTGTCCCTTATGGGTGCTTTGTGACTGCAGCAGCAGCAGATAGGCATGTTATGTAGGGGCTGGGCCTAATTTCAGAGGGAGCTGAAATTGCACAAAAAGCAGATTGTATCATCTTAAATACCTACAGCTATCTAGGGCTGTTCAGGGGACTTTGTGGGGTGAGCCAAGAGAAAATGTTATAATTAAATAGATATGAGGTAAAAGAGAACCAATATTTGCTCATTTAAATTATATTTAGTTTTGTGTAATAAGATTTAGAAAGTTCCAAACTGGGATGATCTGAGCTGGTTTCAATGGTATTTGCTGTTAATGATTGGACATCAGTTCTGTGTATTTGCTTTCCCCTTTGATCATAGGGAAGGTAAATTTGTTTATTTAGAATTTGTTTATTTAGAATTTTGTTAGACTAATTGAATCAGACTATTAATAAAAAGTCAAATTCAGTGTGACAACATTGTAGGTGTGTGCCATCAAGGCATAAAATTTAGATTTGACCAGCAATCTCTAATGACACAGGAGTTGGTGATAGTGTCCTTGTCAGGGAAGGAAAATCAATCTTTCAGGCATATTAAGTGAGGTAAATATTTTGTTGAAGAGGTTCTATCACTGCAAATTCCAGTTAACAGCACCAGCTCTCTGAAATTAACAGGCCATGTAATTCTGAATCTAATAAGATTCGAATGCTGTATCATATTAGGTGCCAGTAGCTAAAGCTCTGAGAGCCGGGAGTGGTGGGAAGATGTAAACATGATCAGTTAGCTTCTTTTTGACAGCACCTTGGAATGAACTGACACAGGCAACAAATGGGATAGAACTGTGAAATAGCCAAAAACAATACAAGAGGCTGAGATAAAAACAGTTCATTTGGCAACGTACTGATTCCCAGGAGGGGAACACCTCATGCACCAGTATCAACCCCAGAGGAGGACTCTAAACACGTCACCAATTTCTGTTAAGGTTCCTTAATCTGCCAGGTTTTGCACAAACCCAGCTGCCAGAGGTTTCACATAAACCCAGCATATGAGTCGAATGAAACAGGATATTCACTCAAGATGTCAGGCAAAACAAATTTATTACTCACAGATAGGCAGTGAGGATAAACAGATCTGTGGCAAGGCCATCCCCCAAGGCTCAGGAAAGCTGGCCAGAGTGAATGGAATCTTGTCTGTGCCTACCCCACTTTGCTCTACAACTTTGGAACCCCCAAAGCATTGCACTCTGGGTTTTTATACGCCAGAGTAAACTTTGCTCACTGGGCTGAAGTGTTTCAGGATGGATATGGAAAAAACCCAGGCTGTTCCAGATAGTTCTCCTTATCTCAGGATGTTACATTATCAGTACATTCGGCCTGAGAATTGCTAAGGAAAGGGGGAAGACATGGATTGGCCAGGGCGATTCAAAGACAGGTCCTCCTGCACACCTATTTGTGTACATTCGTTATATGGAATCAATTCATTTGCTCAGTTATTCAGCAACTATTTATTTGGTACTTTCAGTTTACCATGTGTGGTGTCAGCTGATGGTGATTTGGTGATGATTATCAAGTGAGCAAAGATTTACTTTTGGTATACTCATTAATGTTTTTATTCAGCATTTAATGACAGTGGATATATCTAAAGTATGTCAGAACAGTAGAAAGATTATGAATGCATTATAAAATGTTTACATGCTTAATTGCTGAATCCAAATTTCATTTTTATATCCCACAAATATGAATGTTGTCAAACTTCTGTCACTTTGGAAAACAGTAATGAAAAGAATTTATTGCTTGCTTTGGTTTTATTATTGTTTTTTGTTTTGTTTCTGCCTCTGAATATACTATTTTTATTACCGTACATTTTTCTTCCGTAGCTCATTTTATCACATTCCTTAAATGTCAGGTTCATTTTGTTCTTATAACTTTCATTTTGAGTAGTGGCAAACAAAGGGATAGGCTATTAAGAAAAATGCATCGGCTTCTTCAAATGTGACAGTAGTTTTGTGGCGATATCAGCATTCCACCAGGAATTCATCAGTGTGTCTCACTCTGAGACTGAAATTCTCATCTGGCTGCTTTCATTTTCTAAATCATTTTGCTGTAAGTTTAGCTTTACTGTTTAGTTGATTTCATTTAATTCTGCATGGAATTTATTCATCTGTGAATTTTTAAAAACTGTTATGATTAAGTATCATCCCAAATCTGGAATAAGTGTGACGAACGGTAAATTTCTAAATTAAAAGAATAATGACACTTTTAAGTATTTCTGTCTTTTCTATCTAATGGTCCGAAAGTGGGCAAAGGTTGTTATGTTAGACATGTTCTTGCCAGTAGAGAGTTTTACATTTGGAGCTCGGGAAATTGCTTAAATGTAGTGTCATCTAAGATTCTGCATCAAATTGAAGGGTACATTTTGTAAAGGCATGGGGGTCCTAACACCACTTTCTAGCAAATGAGGTCTTAAAAGTGACAGTTTTGGTAAGTTTTTTAATCTTTCAGCATGTCTGTTAGAAATTGCCAGGGAGTCTGGATCCCACTGGGTGGTTATGAAAAATTTGTCAGATTAGTTAGAATGTTCAGTAATATAATGACATTAGTTAACCAAATTGCTTCCTTAATGAGGGCATATGACATTGAGTTTTAAATGATAGCCTAAAGATTTTAGAGATATGTAGATTAGACGATTCAACAAATGAAAACTAGTACAAGAATATAAAAATTCTTTGCCAAGCAATTAGGAAACATCTTTTCTGTATGAATTTCTTATAACAACTCTCGGAGTGGTCAAGGCTGTTAGGCATATATGACAACAATGTTCTTTGCCCAAGGTCATGACTTTAAGTGATAAAGATAAAATGTGTAGCCTGCTTTGCTTCCAGTCACTAAGTGCCTTCAGCTGTCATAGTTGGCTTCAATTTCTCACCTCCAGACCCAGTCTTCCCTCAGATTCGGAATCCAGTCTCATCTTCAGTTAGAGAAATTTTAAAGAACCTTCAGCCATTAGTTCATCAGAAAGTCAGCTAGCTGCTGGCTCTTCTTTGATCTTATAGTCCAGTCAAGGTTTTTCATCATTCCCTAGCACTAAGCTTCTGATTTATGTTCCAGTTTCAGCTCATGGGTACCTGTATTGTTCTAATGTTTTTAAGTCCACAATTTGGTTCCTTACCAGTTCTGCTAATTCCCCAAGAATTGTTCTCCTGACTGTCACCAGAAACCCTACAGTCCCTATGGCCATAGTCTTGATGCATATTCCTTGGCAATCCTGACACCCATCACCTTGCCAACATTACTGCTTACTCTTTGCTGCAGCTCTCCTGATGCTCTCTTTTTCCTTCCTGATGAGACATACACCTGAACACTGCTGGGCCTCTGTGTTGTTGACAGTTTACCTGCCTAGACTTCCTTGTGTTGTCTGCAGCTGGGCCCCACCTGACCTCTTCTTCCGCGTTAATGGTTTCTGAGCTCTATCCATACCTAATAAGATATGTTCAAATCACCTGCATGCTTGCATTGACAGGAGAAGCCTATCTGTTATTCAGTCATTTTGCCTCTAGTTATCACTCTTAGTTGTATATTTTCCAACTCTGGAAACTTGCCATTTCTGTCATATGAGACTGAGGAATACTAAACAAGAGATAAATGGCAGTCTTGTTTGGCTGGGACAAGACCATCTCTTCTTGTAAGTGATAAGAATTTCCCCAGGTGACTGTGATAATATGAAGAATAAATTATACTTCTGTAGCCCTCACTAATCTCTTATATATACTCTTCATACATTAATGCTATAGTAAATTATAAAACCTGCCATCATCAGTGGTTGGGCAATGTTGCATTTGAAATGCAGTAAGACGCATCCAAAAGCACAGGCACCTTAGATTTTGATAAGTTTTCCATCAGTTAAGCCTCTCCTCACCTTTTAACATCACAAACATTCAGTATGCCACAGTTGTCCAGATTCTATGGAGCAGATATGAAGAAAGAAAAGTATACAGCTCTGCCTAACAGTAAGAAAAGTACAAAGGTGAAGTAAAATATTCAAATATAAAGGGGAATCTACGATGTTAGCGAGTGATGATACCCATGGATTAAAACAAACAAACAAACAAAGCCTTGTGATATTAGAGAGTTATGAACACAACCACTCATCCTGTCAGTAAAATTAGGGAGACAAATGCAGGCCAATACAATGAGATATGTATGATATTCTTGAGTATTAAGTTGATCATAACTCATCACCCTAATTTATTTTCTTTGTTAGTATTTTAAAAATATTTTAAGTGAATATAAATGATTTTCCTTAATATTGTTATTTAGTATAACAAAAATAATAGAGATATTTATAACAACCCTACCATCACAGAACATCTGTCCATATCTGGTAGGTGACCTGAATAGGGGAACAGACAATTACAAGGCAAAGGGGCAAGTCCTGTCGCACACATTAGGCTATGGATTCATACAATCCTTCACTCAAATCCTGGATCCACCACATATTAAAAGGGGAACTTTGGGCAAATTATTTATTCTGTATCAACCTAAGTTTTTTTATGTATAAAATGGGAATAATAGTTTTACCTGACATAGGATTGTGTGGATTAAATTAGAAGTCTAAGGCAAATACACCCTATTCAATATATGACATTACAGATTGTTTTATTCCGTGTTAATGCTCCTGATAAACACATCCCGGCAATTTATAAAGGAAAGAGTTTTAATGGACTTACAGTTCCATGTGGCTGGGGAGGTCTCACAATCATGGTGGAAGGTGAAAGGCATGTCTCACATGGCAGCAGACAAGAGAAGAGAATTTGTGCAGGGAAACTCCCCTTTATAAAACCGTCAGATTTAATAAGACTTATTCACTATCGCAAGAATAGTATGGGGGAATCTGACCCCATAGTTCAATTATCTCCCACCGGGGCTCTCCCACAACATGTGAGAATTATGGGAGTTAGAATTCAAGATGAGATTTTGGTGGGGACACAGCAAAACCATATCACAGATATTTCCATCTTGCCTAACATTTGGGACTGGAAGATCAATTAGGAATGTGCGTTATTCGCAAATCTTAAAATCTGGAAAATTGAAGATTTTTGGAAATATTTTATTACAAAATTTCACAGAAAAAACTACAAGGAAGAAGAAGAAGTGGTTAGGAAAATGAAAAATCAACTTCGGTATATTGACCTGCAGCACCTTTAAATCATGACATTGAAATATCTTGTAGGTTTTGGATTTAAGGAATTGCGATAGATGGAATTGGAAAAATTTGAGCGCAAATTATCACCATATTCATGGTTACTGAAACAAAGGGAGTGGCTGAGATCACCAAGAGAGTGTGTTGAGAGAGAAGACTGAGTCCTGATGACCACTAACATTTAAAGTAAAAGTCAGGAGGAGAAGTAGATGAAGACTGAGAAAGGGACTGCCTCAGAGGCAAACAAGACCATGAAGTTGCAATGTCAAAAACCAGTGAAAGATGGTACTTCGAACAGAGTGAGTGGATATCGAATACCATATGCCAATGAAAGTTTAAATAAGAGCTGAAAGAGATATGCTGGATGTAGTCATATTGGTAAGAGCAGTTGCATTTGAATTGGTGGAAACAGAGCCAGTTTACAGAGGTTTGAGAGTCGAGTGGGAGATGCAATCACAGAGGAAACATGAGCCTGGGAATTTTTTCTGCAAATGTGGCACTGAGGAGGTAACTCCTATTCTCTGTAATATGAAGGGATAATTGAAAGGAAAAGATGTATGTTCTTTTGTAGGTTTGGTATCAGGCAACTCAGGAAGTCTGGTATGAGAATTTCCAATTTCCTTTTTTATTTTTGAGACAAGGTCTCACTCTGTCACCCAGGCTGGACTGCAGTGGCATGATCTCGGTTCACCACAACCTCCCTCCGCCTCCTTAGCTCAAGTGATCTTCCCACCTCAGCCTCCCAAGTAGCTGGAACTACAGGTGCACACTACTGTGCTTGGCTAATTTTTAAATTTCTTGTAGAGACAGGATCTCCCTATATTGCCCAGGCTGGTCTTGAGCTCCTAGAGATGAATGATCCTCTTCACTTGGCCTCCCAAGTTCTGGGATTACAGGCATGAGCTACTGTGCCTGGCCAGAGTTTCTAATTTCTATATGAAATAAATATTAAGGGTAATTGCTGAGAGTTAAGAGAAAATAGAAGAGAAATCTGACAGTGGAGTTATAAAACTTCTCTGTGGGATTCAGGGACCAGTAGAAGAGGGCGATCATGAAGCTTTCACCGATGTTTATAATGGCAAATTTCGAATACTCAAGATATTCCTATCCTTAAGTCTTCTCAACTTGAATTCACGTGTTACTGAAAGACTGAAGAATAGGCATGTCCAAGGCAAACATGTTTAAGTTAATACTCATATCTTCTCTTTTCAGTGTCCATTTCTTTTGCAAATCCATCCTTCCATCTATTCATGTACTCAATGAGCCATCCATTCATTTATTCATATATTTATCTATCTTTCCATCTTCAATATGTCTAGATGTCCTTCCATTAATCAAATATTCATTGATTGACCCAACATGATTTACAAAGAGGCATTAGGATTACAAACAACTGCACAATGATGGGTTTTGTTCTCACAGGATGTTTTAATTAAGATAAAGGTTCAGTACAGCCAAGGTGGACACTTATTTCTTTCTCTCGTAAGAGTCTGTATGAGTAGTTTAATGAATCCAGGCAGTTTACATCTATTTACCATCCCATATCCCTAGGTAACTGGCCTTTTGTATATGGCACAAGATAATTCCCACATGTCCACATACTAGTTAGAAGAAGGAGGGAAGATAGGGAAAGGTATGCTCCTTCTCTTTAAGCCAAAATATGAATTGGAAGTTGCACATATTGTTTTCATTCATATTCTATTGACAAGAAAAAAAATCACCTTTTGCCACACCTAGTTTCAAGGGAGACTAAAAATGCAGGCTTTATTTTGCATGACCATATGAGCAGACAGAAAGGAGAAGCCAGGTACTGAAGAACTAACAGAAGTTTCTCCCTTACAGAGCCTATGTTTTTCTTGTAGTTACAGGCAGGTGAATTGACAGTTACCATACGTTTGGAGAGGTCACAGTGGTAATATGTGATAGCAGCTCACAGGGCTTCCCCATCTCCAAGAATTCTACTGCACAGTGATTCCTGAAGACCTCTGTCTCCAAAATAGGCACAGAGAATTTCCCATCTCTCAATGTCATTTCCCCTTTACTCAATACAGTTCTTATTTCCTTAGAGTAAATCAATAAGTTTTGAGAAAGAAATATCAATGATAAACTCATCCTAACATGTTCATTGCTAATCACTACTTCACTCCCCTCCCTTTTAAAATATACTACTAGGATAGTTTCAAATGTCTTTAATTCGTGGATTTTCACTATATTTTAAGACAGAATGGCTAGTCTGAGAATCAGATTTACCATTAAGATTTGAAACTTACAGAAACCAAGAGAGAATTGATTGAAATATTATTTAAAAGAATCCAGTGATTATATTGACAGATACTGGTGAAAACAAAAAAAAGCATTTAAAAAGGCTTGTATTAATCTGCTGGTAAGTGAAAGAAACTCGTAGTAAGGGGGCTTATATTGCCTAGGAAGAGAGTTTACGGCCTTTGAATGAGCAACTTACTATTTATGTCTGTTAATTGTTGATTCTTGTTTCATTATGGAGCTGGGCACCCTGACAATAAATTCTTCTATCAAATTGGTTTCATTTAAAGAAACAGATCTCTTATGAACTATTTAAAGATCCTTTCTTCAAACTAAACAAATCAAGACTTGGTAAAATGGCTCTAGAAACAGTATCTATGAGGCTTAGAAACATAGGAAATAAGGCCTCCCAGTGTTTCCTATAAAGATGTCTATGAACTATGGGTTGATGAACTATGGCATAACCTCAGAAAGCCTGGGATTACACATAACGCCACTAAATGCAGATCATCTCATTAAGAATGATAATTCAACTTCTGTTCCACTGTATCTACCTGGTTATCTTATGTTCATTAAGGACTTTTATGGCTTGTAATTTTCCCTGCTGAATTTAATTGTTTATCTCTGCCAATTTTTTCTGATTTCAGTGTCACTTTTAAACATTTAAGCTCAACAATTTTGTCAATCCCTAGATATAAACCTCTTCTAAAAGCACTGAAAAAAAAGATCATATATTTAATTGCTAGTAATTTAGGTATTTTCTTTTAAGTGACATTTTATAAAGTGCTATATAAATTTAGAACATTAGTATTATGATTGGATTAATTTTGTCACTTTATGTAATTTCTCTGTATATTATGTTGGGTATTTATTGCTTTTTAATAAGCATATCTAGAGATGAATAATCTCCTTTCACTTGTCACCTTGCCAGCCTTCACACTGATTCTGATTTTCCTGTCTTTGCACAAAACATCTTTTGGGGGGTGTTCAAATTTCTACTTAAAAGGCTAATTTCACAAGAGGTTTTTGTTAAAAAAACAAGACAGTCAAGTCAGATCAACTGGATGGATCTTTTTAGCATTAAATCCACTGGAGTATTGGCTGGTTATTGATTTGTTTACCAAACAGTTATTGAATGTCTGTTACATGTCAGGGTTGGGTGTAGCAATCAATTAAATGTCATCATACTTTGCCTTTTAGGTGTTCACCTTTGTGTTCAGGAGCAAAATGCGTAAACATATATGTTGAAATTATTGGCTCAATGTGGCTATGTATGAGAGTGAAATGGAAGAAGCAATTTATTCTGCATAGGCTGGGGGGAAGACCGTGTAGAGAAGATGCTATTTAATTTTGGTTTTTAAGGATGAATAGAATTTCACCAGTCAGAAAAGTGACCACGGGAGTCTGGGTGGCAGAAGGATGTTAAGGGAGAAAAACACTGCCTGAACAGGCATAGCATGATATGGTTAAGCAACGGAAGGACATTAGGTATTAGTGGAATCTGTAACTGTTGGGAAGAAATAGAGGTCAATAAATAGTAGTAAAGCCAGTTGCAAATAAAGTCTTGGATAGGATGCTAAGATATTCTCTAAAAGACTCTTGACAAGCAACTCTTTGATCTAATTTTCATGTATATGACAAAGCAATCCCTCCCTCCCTCTCTCCCTCCCTCCTTTCTTTTCTCCCTCCTTCCTTCCATTCCTCAATACATTTACTTTAATTCTCCTTTTTAGGTGTTAAGGATAAAGAAGTGAACAAAACAGGAAAAGTCTTAGCATGGAGTTTGTATTGTAGACCAACAGTCTGAAAATTGTTTCTGTAAATGGCAAGATAGTAAACATTCCAGGCTTTGCAAGTCATCTAGTCTTTATTGCAACTACTCAGCTCTGCACTTGTAGTGAGAAAGCAGCCATAGACAATATATAACAAATGGGCATCGCTGATTTCCAATAAAACTTTATTTACACACTGACATTTGAATTTCATATGTCACAAAATATTCTCCTCCTTCTTCTATTTTTGCTCCAGCCACTGAAAAATGTAAAAATCACTCTTAGCTTGTGGGTTGTACATAAACAGGAAGGCTAGATTTGGCCCATGGACTGTAGTTTGTCAAACCCTGTTCTAGAGGTTCAGGTTAATGGAGGCATTAGACACAGACATTAGAAGGGTGAATCAAAAGCAGTTTACATGTTTAAATGATTTAGAAAGTAGTCCATGCAACCAGCTTATACAATAGAGAGATTCTCTAATAATGCAGGAGAGGCATGGGAGTTCAAGTTCTTGGACATTAATTTCTAAGTGAGTGAAGGTCACATTAGATTTTCTTTATATACAATTGCCCCCTTTTATGTCCAGGCTTATATTTATATGACATTTCTGTATATAGGCTAGTCTGGCTGTGTCTTGGGACCAGTTTAGCTGAGCCAGTTCCCCATCATCAATATTGGTGTTACATAATATTCAATGTGATTTCAGGCTCTGCTTGGGATAGTCCTCTCAGGCATGATCACTACTCTCTCTCAGCCCACTCATGTGTACACAGCCCGGTTCATGTGCTTTGCTCAGATAAGGACTGCGGAATTAGAACCAGTGTTAGTTACCCAGAGGTTTTTGAGAGTAAGCTATTGGGCCTTTAGACCAGTGGCAAGATCTTGATTACGCATTTTAATAACACATATTTTTTTTTTTATCAGCTCACAGTATTTTTGGGCTTCATTGTTTAAGTTTGGAAGTTGTTGTTGCCTGGAGTCTAAGCCCAGTTCTACTGTTGGTTGCTGTGTGGCACTGGGCAAATGATTGAAGCTTTTTCAGCCTTAGCTTCCTAATTTTTAAAATGGGAATCATACCCATAACCTAACTTACAGAGTTTTTGTATTAAATGAAATAATCTTTGTATCCTTTCAAGGCCTATATTTAAAGCATCTGGTATATAGCAAAACAAACAAATAAAAATGCACTATTTTTACTACTTATACACTATTTATACTACTACTATAGCACTACTATTACTATTATTATAATTGTAGAAAATAAGAGGAAATTTGGCATTCTTTTCCTAGTAGAGTTTTTGTTACTCTTTTTAAATTGGATGAATATTAGAAAGAGGAGAGAATTAACTTACTTCAGAAAAGACTTGCCCCCAAATCCTAGGAATATTACAGATCGCTTAATACAAGAGGAAATCGAATATGAGCTGTATCATTTTGAAAGAACAGCTGTTAAACATTTCAAAAAATTTAATTTAGAAAAGGTTAATTACCTTTACTATGTCAACTACATTTTTAAATGAAGGATTCTTAATTCTTTTGAAAACATGTCCAAGACCCATTTATTTGTTAATTTAATTCCATGTGCAGTGGACCCCCAGCTCCTATACGAGGGCAAACCATTATAATATATCTTGATTTGAAGGCTCAACACAGCCACTGTTGATTTCGGCTGCTAAAATTAGAGTACGCTGTATTCAACTCTATGCACATTATATTAGAATTTGCTTTGGTCTGACACAAGTAAGAGGCTTTCTATTTACTTAGTATTGCGGGGTAGGATTTTAATTGGTTCCACAGCTCTTACTCAAGTATCATTTTACTTTTCAACAAATGATTCAGACCTTTGGGGAGACATGCCATAATTTAACTGGAGAAAATTTAGGATCCATGAATGTCACACACACACAGAAACTGCACAATGGAGACAATGATGTGCCGATCTGTATAAGAATGTGTGAAATGCTACTGATTCATTTTTATAGGTTTTGTTCTTCGGAGTTTTTCTGTAACAGACAGAGAAGACTAAGTGGATCTCTGCACATTTTCTTTTCCAGTCTGATCTATGCTCAGTGGTGTGTATTTAAATGTGTGCTTTAACATCAATACATTTGTATGCACTTAATATTTAGGGCTTTATGTGCATAGAATTTATTTCTTTGTTCAATTTGTACTGATTCATACATGGCCATCAAATCTACCACCAGCCCCTGAGTGAGTTATTTCTTTTGGCCTCAATTTTCTCATCAGTGAGATAAAGCTAACATCTTGGAAAGCGATTATTGAAAGGTCTAGCTGAGAAAACAGATACAAAATGACTGGGTTTGTGCCTGGGTCAACAGGTGCTTAATAACGGCTTGATTTCTTCCCTTTCATCTTTCCTATGCTTTTCCTTCTACCTTCTAGCCCAAATCATGCTTTAACCATCACCAGGTCTCTTCTTCTGTGTCTAAAATCACCATGCAACTTATTTCCATTATTAATCACAGACAAATAAACTAAATATGATAGTACTGTTTTAGAGATTTCTAAGTTGTAAATATAAAGAGCTATGCTAAAGATAGGCTTTAACATAAGTAGAATAATCTGATTATGAGATGAACATGAGTCTATGTGCTTTTACTGTTGTATTGAATTTATGTTTGCAAATGTTAATGTAAATGTCATGTCTCTCAGTGGCTGAGAGTTTTGATAAAATGACAAAAAACTTCTAATTGTTTCTTCTTTGGGTACCCATGAAGATTGGGCTACAATTTCTAGTTATCACCATCATATGGCAACCAATCTGTTCTGCATCTCTCTTTGGTAAACTGTCAGATTCATTTGTTCACATTGTCATCGCTCATGCCATAAGATGGCTTAAGTTATGGTCTCTCTGCCCTCCAAAAATATCCTTCTTTATGGCCATGATGCCTCTGAATATGCTAGCTGCCAGGCTTGTAGATTTTCATCTTCCAGGACTTTTTGCTAGTGAGCCTGTTATTTGTCACTTAATGTTTAGAATTATCTGTAGCTGATGCCGATGAACTTGGTCTGGAGGTTGGAAGTGGCCTCACATATATGTGGCTATTGGGCATAGCTATTGCTCTGCAATACCTTCATTTGCTTTGAGGCTTTTGCTATATTAGATCCTAAAGATGGTCTGCTGAGTGGCCAGAGGACAGACAATACTTGGAATTTTGTGATAATAAAATGTTACAGTTGGACATTTCTGGAGAATCTCCAGGCCAATATTAGGCCTGTGGCTAAAGGATTAATGCAGCAGAGATGTCCACAGCCAGAATTATCTATGTCCAACGTTGCAACAACTGTAAGGGGGTCCTCTGTTAGAATGTGTGGGGAGATAGTCCAGATCTCTCTGCTTAATTTCATTATGTTTCACTAGTTTACTGCATTAGTAAAAGGGGGTTAGAATGAAAACAAAAAAACATAAAGCATAGTTTCTCTGATAAGAACTTTTTCTAGGCTGAATGTATTTTTTTCTGCTTTCTTTAAAAAAGAGAAGTCACCGACTATTAAAAATAGGTATCTGTTTTATTTGCCTGCCTCATACCCATGTCTCTTTCATCTGATAACAGCACACATATTTCTCATCCCCTGCTCTGTCCATGTGGTTCAAGTGAGGTTAACCTCGACACTAGATGATGTGGGCAGGTGAGGAAGTCTGGACAAGCTCATCCTCCTTTGTTTCGGTGACAGGTAGACACATTAGAGCTAATAAGAGAAACCCCAGGATTTCTTTTCAAGAATTGTTGGAATAGCAAAGCTCTCTTTCCCTGGATATGTCTGATAGAGTAGAGTGAAAGTCTGGAGGTCCTGATAGTCATTTTACCATTGGTAAGGGAGTGCCTACCTAAGATGGAGTCAACCAAAAAGAGAGTAAAATATAATTAACCTGTGACCATTTCAATATTTAGTATTTTCCCATCAATTAAATGTTCTGTGTAACATTCATTCTAATGGGAGAATTGTATCTAATAATATGTATTAGTCAGGGTTCTCTAAAGGGACAGAACATTATATATATATATATATATATATATATATATGAAGGGGAGTTTATTAGGAGAATTGACTGACACGATCTCAGGGTGAGGTGATATGCCAACTGCAAGCTGAAGAGCAAGGAAGCCAGTCCAAGTCCCAAAACCTCAAAAGTAGGGAAGCCAACAGTGCAGCCTTCAGTCTGTGGCCGAAGGCCTGAGAGCCCCCTCGAAAATCACTGGTGTAAGTCTGAGTCCAAAAGCTGAAGAACTTGGAGTCCGATGTTCAAGAGTAGGAAGCATCCAGCACAGGAGAAAGATGAAGGCTGGAAGGCTCAGCAAGTCTGCCCTTCCATCTTCTCTTGCCTGCTTTATTCTAGCCACCCTGGCAACTGATTAGATGGTGCTTACCCAGATTGAGGGTAGGTCTACCTCTCCCAGTCAACTGACTCAAGTGTTAATCTCCTTTGGCAACACCCTCACAGACACACCCAGGAATGGTACTTTGCATCCTTCAATCCAATCAAGTTGACACTCAGTATTAATCATCACACCATATCAGTGTGCTATCATTTATCAATCTTCCATTATTTAACATTTTGTCTGCAATGAGCAACTGCATGTGTAAGTCTACATCTTAACATCTGTAAGATATAGAAATGTCATTTCTACTTCAGAGTACATAAAGGCGTTTTATGGCTTTTTATATGTTAGGCAATACACTGAACATGTTCGTTTTTGTTAGGACGTTGTGGTTTAGGATTTTGATTTTTTTTCTCAGTTTAAAATATTCACGAAGTACTATAAAAAAGTTTACATATGAATTGAAGAAATATTTTCTTAGAAATATAAAAGACAAAAATCCTCTCTAGCCTGGCGTGAAAACTAAGTCAAGAAAGCTGATCTGTTGCACAGCAGTACACATGCCATGCGATCTTCCAGCAGCTGTGTCTGCCATGAGATGCCTTTGTGATTTTCAACAGCAATCAGAGCAGTGGATCACCTGTGCATGGGTGGTTGAGGCATGTTTGAAGAAGGTTGAAAGATTGAAAGACAGCTATAGATTATGGAGAGAAAAGTCCACTACTACAAGAATCCAATATCCAGCTAAGATAAAATTTACCTGTTTGGCTGGTAGTTTATAGAATAAAGGTATTGCAGATATTCAGTGATTCAGAGAGGAATTGATTGAATTCCATGATTCATAGGCTGAGGAATACATTATCATCTGTCTACCTCATGAGGAATAATTGCTTGAGAATGAACTCTAACAATATTATAATGGATCAGAGGCCTCAAGATAGGGGAAGAAGGAGGAGGAGAGAGTAAACAGGGGTGAATAAGACTTGAAATATCTTTATATCTCTGTATCTGCCTGTCATCTATCTCCATCTATACCTAAATGGATAATAATAGGGGGAAAGGAATAGCTATTATTTTAATGCCAAGTAATGGTTAATGAAAATTATAGGATGTCAAAGGAAAACTTAATAATCTAGAGCTAAATGTACTATACTTTTTAAGCAAAATATGCGAGTTGTGTAGTGAGTTCAAGGACAATCCACAAAGTGTCAGTGGTGCCCAGCAAGATTTATTTGGTGACAGTCTGACAGGTTTGTATGCAAGGGAAAGTCCCTCACAGCATGAGACCTTCTCGAGACCATGGTGCAACACACCACCCAGAAGGGGATGAGGGCAAGAGGATTCCTGGGGGAGAGGAGGATTCTGCGTCTAGGGGGCATCACTCAGAAGCACAGCAGAGAGTCTCTAGGTCAGAGAACTCCATGGGAAGCAATGGTTTGGGGTCTTTTATGGCACCAGGGTTTATCTTATTTATGGCTAGTAGATGTTGGGTGAAGTTTCATAGGTTGTGCATAACAGGCAGTCTCTAAATGGCTAAAAACTACATATATGGGCTGCATTTAGTATAATTTCATATGTAAAAAAATCTGAATTTGGCATTGGCAGGCTTCTGAGCCAACAATACCAATCTGCTCTGCAGATAACAACATAGGACCAATATAGAGGGACCTTCTTTGGCTCAGTTATATAACAAGTTGATAATAGAGAGCAGATAGCAGATGCTCTAAATGTCTAATTTAGGCAAGACTGCATGGGACGTAAGAGTATTATAAAGGTTGTATCTTATGGTAATGGGATTTAGGAAGCAGGCAGGGAATATATTGTCCTAAGAGATAAGAAAATCACACTTTTTAATAATTGAGAAATATTTAATTACAAGTGGTAGTAAAGGGAGAATAAAACAGAATGAAAAAGTAGAGTGGAATTTCCAAACCAACGAAGAGCAAGCAAATGAGCAAGAAAGAGTGAACGATTAGCAGTTTGACCAGATCAGCAAAACACTGGAACAGGAATAAAAAGAATGTAAATTTCAAAAGGAAACATAAGCCAACTAAATAAAAGGAGTTCTACCAATTGCTATACTAAATGTGAACAGGCTGAATTCAGAATGTATGGAGAGCTAGACTGTCAAAAATCTACCCCTATTGTATTCTATTTATGAGAAGCCCAAGAGTGGTGATATTATCAGACAAAATGGTCAAAAGCACTTACCAACATGTAGAGAGACATTGTGTAATAACAAAATACCTACTTTTCAAAGAAAATATAGTATCACAAGTGTGAATACACCAAACAGCATAGCTGCCAAAAACACATTGAAAGAACTATTAAACCTCCAAGGACAACTTGATAGAAAATATAGTTATAGTGGGAGATATTCATATGTTTATTCTGAAATCAGATCTAATAGAAGAAATAATTGAAGACATAGAAGATTCAGATTATATCAATGAAAATCATATAAAATCTATGTATAGAAATGTGTACTTTAAAGTAGAACATATTTTATATATCTATAAAAATTAATCAACCATATGCTTGACTATAGGAACACTGCTAAAAATAGAAATTTTGCATTTTACAACTTACATGTTTTATCATAATAAAATAAAGTTAGTAATAAATGAGGAGACCTAACCTCCTCAACTATTGGAAATTAAAAATCACACTAAGTTAATTATGGATCAAAACAGAAATGCTAAATTACTAGCTATTTTTAGAAACAGGTATTATAAATTACAAACTATTATGAATACATTTGTAAAGCAGAATACTTTATATAACCAAATAAGCTCAATAAAAGCTCTACTCTGAGGAACAATTTCAGTCAATGACCCAAGAAAGGAATTTTTTCTTTTTTAAAAAAAATTAGAAGAAAATCAACAAAAACAAAAAATGAAGTAGATAAGGAGAAACACTGACCTCAAGTCATGCAATAAAAGTGAAATAGAAAGGATTAAAAAAGTAAAACTATTTTTCTTTGTGTATTCAAGAAAATCAATAAGAACCCTGTTGAAGCAAAGAAAAAAGGGAGGGAACAACCCTACACATGCTAAGGAATGAGAAAGGGCATAAAACTACATAGGCCAAAGAGATTGATGACATAAGGAAACACTACATGCAACATAAAAAAAAAAAATCAATAACACTCCTACAAGAAGATTTAGGCTACTATATATGCATAGCACAGGAGTTAAGAAGACCTGATTAATCAAGACAGGAAACTTGGAAGATGTTAAAGAAAAGCTAGACATATTTTAATGTAAAATAATTAACACTGTTTTACAAAAATATTGTAAATGAAGTCAAAGGAAGAATGATAGATTTGTATAACTTTTGTCTTTCTTTATTGAGCATGGAGAAGGCATGGAAGGATATATATCCTAGGCTATTATCTCTAGTCATTTAGTCGTGCGGAAAAAGTGTTTGAGTAGAGAGAGTGGAAGAAGGGAGATGGGTAGAGAAAAATGAAGTAAACAGACTTAATATCTAAAGGCTATGGGTATAATTTAAAATTTACACAGCCTTCACAATAAAGTCCTTGAAACAAGCAAGTGCCTTATTTGGTAGAACAAGCCTAGTGTGAAAAAGACTTCTAAAGTATCTAACACTTAATCAGAACTACGTCTTTAACCACGTTATTTAGGGAGAATGAATTGGAGAAACTTATCAAAACCCACTGTACATCCTTTATATATAGATAAATATAATACATAGAGTTTTCATTGAAAATAGTAACATATTGATCAGTTCAGAAGAAGTGCCTTATGTGGTATGTGAACTTAAATATTCATTTTCCTCACCTTCAAATGTCAATTTTACTCTCCATGAATCTATTATCTTATCCAATTTTAAGCAGATATTTAGTCTTTCAATTTCACTGATGGCATATTTTTGAAGTGATAATGGCCTCATTAACTGCTTAAGGCCCTACTAATAACAAACAATGTATTTTACTCTAAAACAATATCTGGTTTTCTAAGAAGCAATAACTGGTTTCCTAAGAAAAATTATTATGATGACTGTTTTTCTTTTTTACCTAAAATCTTAGAATAGAAAAGAACTCTAACTTGTCTTTGTGAAAAGGAGTCTTTTGAAATTCTATACTTCAAGGTTACTAGCATGGAGAGACATTTGTTACACTGAACACAAATCAATATCATATATCAGCTTGACATATAAAGTCAATAACATATTTCTAAAATAGAGGCACTATTTATTGGTAGAAGCACAGAAAACCTGGCCTGGTCCTTGCTCAGGCATGTACTGACCATGGGAGTCTAGGACATGATATGGAATTTCTCTGAATCTCAGTTTATAACAGTATTATCCAGGCCTACCTGCCTAGAGGGTTTCTTGTGAAGGTCAAATGGCTACCCTGTATAAAAGGTCTTTGTAACAAGCAAGAACTCTCTATGCACGCAGGAAGATATATTATGGGAGCCCCATGTTCTTCTGAAGTCCTGCCTTTGCCCTGTCCAGTTGCTCTGGCGGTCGATATCACATGAAGTTACATTCTAAAATAATGTTTTTAGACATAGTGATTGAGGAGCTTATTTTATTTTATTTTTTTATTTGTTTATATATATATTTATTATACTTTAAGTTCTAGGGTACATGTGCACTACGTGCAGGTTTGTTACATATGTAAACATGTGACACGTTGGTGTGCTGCACCCATTAACTCGTCATTTACATTAGGTATATCTCCTAATGCTATCCCTCCCCATTCCCCCAACCCCACAACAGGCCCTCATGTGTGATGTTCCCCTTCCTGTGTCCAGGTGTTCTCATTGTTAAATTCCTACCTATGAGTGAGAACATGCGGTGTTTGGTTTTTTGTCCTTGCGATAGTCTGCTCAGAATGATGGTTTCCAGCTTCATCCATGTCCCTACAAAGGACATGAACTCATCATTTTTTTTTTTTTTTTTTTTTTTTTTTTTTTTTTTTTGAGACGGAGTCTCGCTCTGTCGCCCAGGCGGGACTGCGGACTGCAGTGGCGCAATCTCGGCTCACTGCAAGCTCCGCTTCCCGGGTTCACGCCATTCTGCTGCCTCAGCCTCCCGAGTAGCTGGGACTACAGGCGCCCGCCACCGCGCCCGGCTAATTTTTTGTATTTTTAGTAGAGACGGGGTTTCACCTTGTTAGCCAGGATGGTCTCGATCTCCTGACCTCATGATCCACCCGCCTCGGCCTCCCAAAGTGCTGGGATTACAGGCGTGAGCCACCGCGCCCGGCCGAACTCATCATTTTTTATGGCTGCATAGTATTCCATGATGTATGTGAGAAATGGTATCACTTTTACACTGTTGGTGGGACTGTAAACTAGTTCAACCATTGTGGAAGACAGTGTGAGGAGCTTTTTTCTTTGAGGAAGAATTTGCTTAAATTTTTCTTTTACACCTTAGATTGTAATTGTCACTCTCCAGACATATCTATTAGGAATAGGAAAAGATTTCTCAGTAGTACAGACTCTAAATCTCTATAGATGGTGTTTGAATAATAATAAAAAGGATTATTTGATTCTTGTCCTTGGCCTGAAAAAATGACACACTGGGGAGATCTCTAATTGGGTTGAATCTTGAAACAGGTACTTGAAATATAAAATAAAGTTTGTCTACTTGGACTCATTGAAGTTTTGTAAGATGTGATTTCATAAAATGACCAAGGACACAATTTTCCTGTAGCATTTTGATGCCTGTAGCCTTCTGGAGGAAATGATGTAAAACTGTAATAACATATTATGTTCCTCCTAATAGTATTCTTCAATATCAATGTATTACATAATTCTAAGTAATTAGAACAAGTAAATGTTTACCACTATTAGGGAAATTGAGTTTATCTCTATATAAGGGAAACTGTTTGTTCCCAACACTCTTGAACATTATGTCTTTGGACTCTTTTATTAAGTATAATTTACAAAATTTTAATAAATCTAAATAAAATCAATTTTGTGTGTTTTTCTATGATCTGCAAGAGACCATATTAATAGATAGGGCAACTTTATTTTGATGCATGAAGTTAACTATTTGTTTTGGTGTTAATGTTACCTTACAGTATCTACGACTATGTATCAGCATTCTGAACTTTGCCATAACGTGATCTGATTATATAATGTAGGTTATTAAAATTTTTTAGCCTATTTAAGTGCTTTGTCCTAGTTATAGCTTTTTTTTTCCATTAAGTTATCACAATAGTTTATAATAATTACTATTACTGCTTTACTGCTAATAATAATATATGAAAGAATGACATTAAATGCAGTTATAATTAGTTTCAAGTGAAGAGCAGTGTAGACTATTTCAAGTGTCATAACTCATGTGTTATTTCAGGTAGATCATACATATCATGTAGCTATGTTTAACCGTAGCTACCTATCATTTGTATCTATCTGTCTGTCTGTCTGTCTGTCTATCTCTCTATCTATCTGTCATCTATCAATCATTTATCAGTTGAAGTAAAATAATAAGTAATTTTAATTGGAAAATAGCATGGTATGTGAAACAATATGGGCTTTGAATTCAGACAGTACTTGATATCACCCCTGGCTCTACCTCTTTGCAGTTTTATGATAACTTTTAAGCAGCTGAATTTCTCTGTCTCAGTTGCTTTATCAATAAATAACAATAAGATAATAACTAAGTCCATTTCTTTTCATTTCTGTGAGTAGTGTTGTCTTCTCAGTGCTTGTCAAATGTGAATGTGCATATCAGTTCCATGGGGATCTTGTTCTAATGCAGATTCTGATTCAGTAGGTCTGAGAAGGGGGCTCAAGATTCTGCATTTCTAATAAGCAGCTAGTCCACCTGACACAGTTTAAGTAGCAGTGTTGAAATATACACTGGGATGCAGAGAGTTAGATGATGGGCTCAAGTGCATTTCTAGCATCTAAAGTGGAGATAATGACATATCTTTTGGAGAGTTATTGTGGCAATTACAGATAATAGATACGTAAAATGATTTCTCTGGCTTCTGCCACATGGAAGGAGCTCAGGAGGCATCATGATTGTGATTATCTTTTTAAGTATTATCTATGTGTTAATAAATTATTTCTGGTTCACACTGAAGCAGGTCCTAGCTGGGAGTACGACAGGAATTATTTTGTCCAGCCACACTTTTTACAGAAGAGAAAACTTAGACTTCCAGAAGGCAAATTTCCAAAAGACTGAAACTCTTTCCATCCCATTATTATACTTTCCTTGTCATAAAAGCTGAATGAATTTGAGATCTGAAATGCATAGAAAGAATTATTTAAATTTATTTTTTTTCAGGCTGGGCATGATGGCTCACGCCTGTAATCCTGGCACTTTGGGATGTCAAGGTGGGCGGATCACCTGAGGTCAGGAGTTTGAGACCAGCTTGGCCAAAATGGTGAAACTCCGCCTCTACTAAGAGTACAAAAATTTGCTGGGCGTGGTGGCACACACCTGTAATCCAAGGTACTTGGGAGGCTGAGACAGGAGAATCGCTTGAACCCAGGAGGCAGAGGTTGCAGTGAGCAGAGATCACGCTATTACACTCCAGCCTGGGTGACAAGAGCAAAACTACATCTCAAAAATATGTATATATTTTTTTTCAAAGAGGACTAGGACTTAAAAGGCATTTAAACATATAAGAGGACATTCCTACAAAGTTGTAAAATGTCAGTAAGAATGTGGACCTTTTGGGGCTATGATTACTTACTGTTTTGAATCATTCTTTTTGCTACTAAAGGTGGGAAAATGGTACATTCATGCAAAAATGACTTTAAACACTGTAATATGTATTCAAGAAAATCCTGTGCAGTGAACCAGATAAGCTAGGGCCATTCCTACACCACATTGTAAAGGCTGGGATGTATGTTTTTAGCACCTCACTTTTCCCTTTCTGTGACCTTTTCCAATGATCATCTTTATCGCCAGGCACAGAATTTTCTCTCACCTACTGTGTTTTCCAAGTCTCTAGGAGACACTGAGCTGATATACTCATTCATGCTTTAGAGATCAAAGAATGACTCCTTGTAGCTATATTTCTATTAAAAACAACAAACACACTTCAAAGATTAGGGACTGTATTAATATTCATTTATTAGGATCTTCTTGGTTTCTTTCAAATAATATTATTAGAACTCTAACTGTAATGCCTCTTTGGAAGACTAACTTCTACTGAGATTTTAAGATAACAGTAAAGGGCAGCCTCTGAAGGATATTTTTTTTCAGGTAACATTTCATAGGATGTTATTTTGAATATTGGGTATTAGCTTCTTTGTTGTTTGTAGGTGATTGGAGAACAGAATCAGGGCTCGACGGGCTCAATAAATAATACCGTCTTATTTTTCCCTCCCCATTCTACCCAGGTATAGAAGCAGTTCAGAGATAGACATAAATCAGGACAGATATAGAAAATATTATCTTGTCACAGATGCAAATGAATTTAGGAAATTTAGATTTTTTAGCTAGGTGGATTTGCTAGCAATCTGCCGCTAAAGTAGGGAGATTCAGCCCAGTTAACTGGAGAGACCCAGTTACAGTCAGTGGCATCTCTGCACAGTATCAGATCTCCCCAAAGAGGGCCTGTCCCCAAATTACAGAATGGAGAAGCCTCTTTGGGCGGGCTGGCTGTTGTAAAATAGTGGAAGAAGAATAGAGCCAAGGTACCCATGCTGAGTTCCTGCTCCTAAGTTTACCAATCAGAAAATTCACACCTTTTCTTCTGGGGAAAATGTGGGAGGAGGAAAGAAAGGGGGTCAAGAAGGTTTTTCTTTTGTTTTTTTGTTTTTTGTTTTTGTTTTTTTAAATGAATATCCCTTAACAATAAGAGATATATGTTCTTCCCTGACATTTTACAGCTTTATTCTCTTAATCCAGTAACTTAACCATAGGTCCAACATCTGTTTTTTAAAAGCTTACATCTTTTTGTCCCTCTCTGCCTGATTCTTCTGTCTAACTCATTTAGTTCTGAACCTGGGCAGGAAACAGGGGACCTGTTTATTGGAATCACTGAAATTCATTATCCTGTGCATTGGACCAGAAAACTTAAGCAAGACACAGAGTGGAATTTAGGGATGAATATACCAGCATAGCCAGAATGGGTGACTTAAGGCCTTAGGTATTGGCAAGTGTACCACTTTGGTTTTTGGTTTACATTACACAGATTTTTTAATTTGTGTGATTGTTTTTTAACTGATGGGGCCTGGCCAGTTACCTTCACACCTTAGGTTTAATGACATGGACCTTGACGCTATGCTTTAGGAAGTCTTTCACCAAACATATGTGACTGTTTTTGTACTGGCAGGTATACAGAATATGTCTTTAAAAATCACTAGCCATTTGGAAGCCAGAGCATGTGGCCTATTGGTAAACTGAACTACATAGGGAGGCAGAACCTAGTATGGACTCAAGGAACAGACATGCTTTAAAACATCAAAAAATAAGTGTTTTAGACCTCAAAACAAATAGTGCTTTGGTTAAAAAATATCTCAAGGTAGCTGAGCACTGCGTGTGCCACAGAGCCCCACTGTGAGCTGCAACTCTTTTAAAACTGTGGGTAGGCAACGCTCAAAGGGAGGCTTTATCTCCCTTTCTTTGCAAGCAGGACAAAGTGAGTGAACTGGCAATTAAAAGCCTCTGTGTCTGTTGGTAGAAATTAGTTGTTTATGGACTCAAGGAGGAACCAAAGAGTTTGGGAAATACTCTTCAGTCTTACTATTAGGAGAAATAGTAAAAGAATAAGACAAAAGGGAGGAAAACAGGCTGATTAAGCTGAAGGAAGAAAGAGATTTTTATTATGAAGAACTTGACAACTTAGAGAACCACCTGGAGAGATAGGAAAGGGAGTTGAGATGGTGAAGAAAGGCAAAGGAAGTCCAACCAAGGTCTTAAAAGTTTGTACTGTAGATATTAGAAAATGAGGCTCTGTTAGTTCTTACTGTATCAGAAGCACTAGCTAGAAATAGTAAAGTCTAGGGGAGGTAAAACCTCAGAAAGCCAACTGGTACAATTGATCTAAATGGGTCCAGGACACTGTGGAGAGATGTCCTTTTAAAACTGAAGCTTGAAAGATCGTAGTAGGTCCCTTGAGATTGAGTTGGCTATATCAAGTATGAAAACTCTGGACATATTTAAGATGTTAAAATGATATCCTTGTAAAATGATCATAGAATCGTTAGATGATTAGTGTGCAAGATGACACATTTACCGTGAGTCATCATTACAGGAATTGCCTGTGTCCTTAGGGAATATGCCCAAGAGATTTATGGAATTGGGGATCTAAGGGAAGGGACATGAGCAAGAAAGACAAGGCTTAATAGAGAGGATCCAGGTAACAGTGATAGTTTGAGTCTAAGATTGGTTTATCTATTCACCCAAAATTTTTGGTATTCTGAATGTGTTTATTTCATTTCATTATGGAAGATGAAAACAGGAGGGTTATATTAGAAAATAAAATATCTGGGCCAAAAAACAAAGGAAAATATAATGGAAAGAAGGCACTTGAACACAGCAAGCAGCACTGCCCTACCTGTGTTAGAGAAGGAAATGTGGAACCTCAAAGCGAAGTCAGTCACTTTAAACTTACCTGAGACTCTTGAAAGAAGTACAAAACAGTAGAGAGAAAAGATATATTAGGGGCATGGTCCATAGTGCAGGAAAACATGTAGCAAAAAAGAAATGCTGCCTAACTTCTAAAACAATCAAAAGCTGTTGAATGGTCACCTGAGGATCCTGACACAGGGCTATGTCCTCCCTAATTCCCCAGGGTAACAGAATTTAGAAAGATTATCTGCATCTTCTGCCGAGGTAGTTCAGCTGAAACCCGTGTTGGAATAGGCCAAAGAGGACAGGTTTCTTAGGGATTAACAATTTTCTGGTGAGAGTTAGTTATCATAGCCTCCATGGCCTAGAGTGGAGCATACCCTCGACTAAACCTGAAGATGCTAGAAATATGGGGCTCAAATGAAAATGAGCATCAAGAAGTTTTGATTATGCAGAAATGAAAACAAAGATGCTACAAATTAGACTTGATGACTGGATTTGCTGTCGTTCTGTATTTCTAAATTTGTAGGAAAACAAGAATACCATTCTGGGAG
This sequence comes from Homo sapiens, assembly GCF_000001405.40. NCBI lineage: Eukaryota > Metazoa > Chordata > Mammalia > Primates > Hominidae > Homo > Homo sapiens. Next base: position 91,633,156 of record NC_000013.11, read on the forward strand.
AAGACAGTGGACATAGATGAATTTCCTCCTTCAGTGTTGCAAATGCTAAGGGCCCACTGTACCCTCTTGGTGCAAAATTGCTCTTGATTTTCAGTTGCCAGTATACATCCTCTGGACATCTGACATAGATGGATGTCATACTGGTGAAGCTGAGAATCTATTCCTTATTCCTCAGATGTCACTGGGTGTTGTTATGGTCTTTGGTAGTGGGTAAGTACTGGGTTCTAGGAATGCCATTTTTCCTGGAACAACTAACCTAATGGCTAGAGATTGCATAAATTTATAAATTTTGTGAGTGTGGAGCCACTGTCATAACAGTCTTGTATGTTCTATTCACTCTGCCAATTCTTAAATGGTGAGAAACATATGTGATTTTGGTGTCAAACTAATTTTAAATTGAAGATGGTTCCTTGTGGAAGACAACTCAGGTTGGAGTTTCTGAAAAAATCCAGTTTAACCTATGGGTTGAGTGTTCGTCTGGTTGACATCATGAAGAATAAGAAACTGAAGAACTTTAACTGATATTTGGACTTCCAATTTACCGTGTTTGAAATTTCAACATCAACATCTGGGGACTTTCAGGGCAAAGAATCTTCCTTTCCTTGGGCTACATGTAACCATGAGGAATGAAATCTACTAGAGTAAGAATTTGAGTCTCTCCACTCTTTGCCTTACTCTTTACTCTCAGATGAGGATAATGACTTCCCTGATGGGTGGTTTTGGAAAAGGAGTTGAGCATCCTTAGCTCAACCTACTCATACTTAGAGTAAATTAGCCAGATATAATTAGCAAGTTCATTTAGCTGAAAATCTAATCCTTAAACACCAATATTGCTTTTATGAATAATAAAGCACACATTTGCTCTCCATCTGCCTGACTCCTAAGATTATCTCTCAGTTGGTGTCAAGCTTGCGTAGGGAATGAGGACATCATTTATTGGCTTCCTCAAACTTCACCTTTGAGAATCCTGATATTTCTTGATAGTGTGGATTATTTTGTTAATATTTATAATAGTAAAAATTCTTATTATTCAATAATCTATTTCTAAAATTGCTAAGGTTGATTAGGCATAAGACACTTCAGTAAATATAAAATATGTTGGGTATTAAGTGGAAAAAGAAAAATACAGAATCAAGATTTCGAATGACAACTGGTCTTTGAAGTTGTCTATTCCTACCTAATATTTTTATGGGGGAATGGGGGATGGTTAAATAAGCTAAAACTGAGAAAAGATAAGATATTAGCTTAGGTCACACAGTCGATTTGTGAAAGAACAGTTTCTTTTTTTTTCTATAATCTTGATGTAAGTTGAGTTTATACTTGTTGAATTAGAAGAAAAATAAATGCTGACCAAAGTCTCATAAGTCTCATAAATCTTTTAAAACAAATCACCTAATTTAGCTCACTCTTCCGATCAAGTACGTTCTATTATTTATGGTACCCTGTTTATACTTTTGGGAGTAATAATTTTTTTCCTACCATCTTTATTTCACTTGATAAATACTGATGTCTTTCTGTGTTTCTACTGGAGCTTGAAATTAATATAGTTTTATATACCAGTATTACCAATTATGTGAGCATCGTGATGGCTATAGGGCTTAACTAATGTTGAAAAGTAGCATAGGAGTAGATTACATTGTTAAAAAAAAGTGTTCCATTTAATAAATGCATATGATTAGGCTGAAGAGACAGAGAATAATTTATTCACAACAACATTCTTGCCACTGTTCCATTCTGGGGTCGCCAACATTTGTTTCCTGAGCTTTAAGAACTTAGACTCTTTAACTACTTGTTCTCCCTCATTTTGTCATTTTATGTGTTGCAGAATATATAATTTAATCCCTATATGTGCATAGGATGCTATGCTCTGAAGTCAGAATTTTGCAGTAGAGTAAGACTTGAGAATTGAATGGAAGATTAATGTATTGAGACAGAGGGAAGTGATTTGGCCAGATTTGCATCCCCATTAAGTGGAGAACCCAGACTAGGGCCTCCAACCTTAATTTCTATTTTAATGTTCTGTTAGGTATTTTAATGAATGTATTTTCCAGAAAAAGCCCTTTTATTTTGTATAGAAGCCTAATATAAACTCATGTAAAAGTTTCCAGTAACAGAAAATTATAAAAATGAAAATACGAATTGGATATAATTATTCAATTCATGTGTAACATGCATTAACCTTTGGTGTATATTTCTCCAGATAGCTTTTTCTGCTTGTTTACACCTACTATCCTAGAGGTATTTTTCAAATTAATGTAAATACCCATGTACTACTATGTGAAATATGAATGTGCTGGTTCATTTTATAGATACAGTATATTATTTTTAAACATCTTCCTGTTGGTGGGCATGTTTTCATCATCAGCATTTTCCTTTATGCTATCTGGTTATTCTAGCAATTAAAATACTAATGAATATTTTGCTTCAATGTCTTTATTATTATATTATGTTACACTGATATCTTTAAATTACCTGAATGTATTGTAGTGAAGGCTGTGGGGTAGAGTTTCAGCTTTATATTTTCCAAGAAGATAATTAGTTTCCCACTGCTACTTCCTGAAAATTGCCTATCTTTTTTCTCCCCACTGATACACTGAAGCCAGGTATTCAGAGGTTTACACTTGCAGATAAACTTTAGAATTATATTGTCAGTTTCATATTTTTCACTCCCTTGGGATTTTATTGAATTTATAGATTTCATTTAGGGAGGAAATTGACATCTTTACAATGTAGAGTCTTCCTATTCAAGAAGAAGATGATATCTCTACATTCATGTGAGTCTTCTTTTATCTCCCTCAGTAGTTTTATAGTTTTTTTCATTACAGTTTCTGCACATTCTTATTGCTTATTTTCTGTTTTGGTTGTTGCCGTTGGATCTATACAATTTATTTATATTTTTATTTAACAGCGTTAGGTATTCTGTATAGTTTCTTAGTATTTGGGATTTTCAAGTTATATGATACATCAAAAATCATTTTTCCAATCTTTCCAATATTTATGCTTCAATTTTATTGTTTAAAAAATTGCAATGTGAATGATAGCACCATTTACATATATCTTTCCCTTCTTTCTGATTTTAATGAAATGGCACAGATATGTTGTTTTATCCTTTAGCATCATGACTGTGTCAAGAACATGTAGAATTAAGCCTATGATTTATAATCTATATAATATGGAAATCCTATTTTCATTAAAAACATATATAGTGTATACACATTATATAAATATATTTTACATACATTATGTGTGTGTGTATATACACGTGTGTGCAGTGTGTGTGTATTTGTGTGTGTGTATTTGTGTGTATCTCCTTTTAAAACAAAATCAAATTGCTATACAATAAGTCTTTTTGTCCTGTGATTACAGTAGACTTATAGTGGCATTTTATAGCCATGGATATACCATGGATAAATAAGAATAATTTACAGGTAAGATGATCTGCCTCACTGTACCAAGTACATCTCCCAGTGGCATGTTTTCCTGCTAAAATTCTGACTGAAAAGATTTCTGCTTCCAGGACCAAGTGCAGTGACTCATGCCCGTAATCCCAGTGCTTTGGGAGACTGAGGTAGGAGGATTGCTTGAGGCCAGCAGTTGGAGACCATCCTGGACAACAAAGTGAGACACTGTCCCTGCAAAAAATAATTAAAAAAAAAATTAGGCATGGTGGTGCGTGCCTGTAGACCTGACAACTCTGTAGGCTGAGATAGGAGCATTGCTCGAGTCCAGGCATTTGAGGCTGTAGTGAGCTATGATCCAGTACCCCTATACTCCAGTGGCAGAGGGAGATCTTGTCTCTAAAACAAACAAACGAACAAAACAAAAACAATCAAGATTTCTTCTTTCAATTAATGAATGTGCCTTATGTCAATGACTCATTTCTTAATTAAAATTAATGTGCTGAATTATTCAAGAAGTTTGACCTTTTACTATAAGTTAGAAAATTCCATCTTAAATATATTGTAGAAAGGTTGAGGTCTGTACAGGCAGGTTGAAGGACAGTTACAAGGTTTTCATAGGAAACCTTCTTACCTATTTCTGGGACCTGGGAATGAAGGAGAATATAAGAGGCTGAGAAAAGTTTGTTAAAATTGGATTTAGGAGTTATAAAGTTGTATTTCTCATGAAGTGTACTTACATTATTTTCTGTGGTCAGGTTCAAATATCTCTTCCCCTAAAAGAGTGAGGGATAAATTCATGCGAGAGCCTAGAGATTTACATTTTAATTGTGAATGGGTGACCTTAAAAATGTTAAATGTTTTCCAGAAAAAGACATTCCCAGGCAACAGTGGATCTTTTATTTTATTGTGCTTACTGTCTGTGGACAAGGGATATAGTCATGTAGGATGAAAGGAAGTAGGTACCAAATGAATTCATATTTCTGGAAAGAACAAGAAGTGATAGTTGAGTTCAAGAAAAGCTATTACAGGACTGAAAATAGGGACGAACAGGAGAAACGGCTTAAAAAGAGCTGGGAAACCCTGATACAGATAAGAGGAATATTGAATCCACCTATCCAAAAGTCCCACTGCTAAGGCGAAGAGAGAAAGGAGTGGTACAAAACAGTATTGGCCATAAAAGAGAATTCAAGGGGACCTTCGGTGGGAAGCAATCTTGACCTACAAAAATGAAGTTTAACTTTGATGCCTAAATTGGATTTTGTTTTCCAAGACCATGAGAGTGAGCACAGCACTGGACTGAGATGAAGACTCTACTCATTCTTCAAGAACTCCTCTGTGAAGCGGGCTGTCAGCCATTGCTTCTCCTGTGTTCCCTCTATAAATGTGACTGCCTGATTTGTTTATACTTGATAGAAAGGAATTGTCTTATGCCTGAATAGAGGATAGCTCTATAATTGAATCAACAGGCAGAGAGAAAAAGGAAGAGCTCATGACAAAGGCAAATGTAGGAAAACAGCAAGGCCCAGAAGCAATCTCTGTTTTGCCTTTGACATAGGAGTAAAAAGCGAAGCTGAGAGAAAACAAGCACAGAAAGGGGCTGCTCACCTAGAAACCAGGTGGACAGTGGTGTACCTTCTGGCTCCTGGTATTTCGTATATCAAACCTCAAGTCTAGTCACATATACGTATAAATTATGAAGACTTTCTTGTGTTTTCTCATTTCTAAATCTTTGTATTTTTCCTTATTGATCTATTGCCAATGCCTTTTACTACTTTTCTTTGATTTACAATAGACATTTCTTTCTTTTTCTTTTTTTTTTCTTTTTTTGAGACGGAGTTTCACCATGATGCCCAGGCTGGAGTGCAACGGTGTGACCTCACCTCACTGCAAACTCTGCCTCCCCAGTTCAAGCAATTCTCCTACCCCAGCGTCCCAAGTAGCTGGAACTACAGGCATGTGCCACCATACTCGGCTAATTTTCATATTTTTAATAGAGAAGGGGTTTTACCATATTGGCCAGGCTGGTCTCGAACTCCTGACCTCAAGTGATCTGCCCGCCTCAGCCTCCCAAAGTGCTGGGATTACAGGTGTGAGCCACCATGTCCAGCTTACAATAGACATTTCCAAATATATTAGTTATTGCTTTAATGTAGAACTCTAAGTTGAGGATTGGATTCAAAAAATTTTTTAAACAAGGACACATTTTTAAAGGAAATAATATACCCCAAATGAGAAAAAGCCCGTTAGCTAACGTATTATACCTCAATGTCCTATTTTCTAAAAAATTATTTATTAGCTTTTGGGATGAATTAATCTGTATGTTAAGCTGAGATTCAGCAAAACAAAATAAGTAAATTAACTGAATTTGAACTCTTTTCTTACTTGAAAAATACAAAAAGGCAATGATGCTTAAAGAAAGTAAAGATAAATGTGAACAAAGTATGAATAGCATTTTCTACATGCTTTGCATGAGCGAGTATATGAAAAACTGCCATAAACTTTACCTTATTTTATTTTAGTGGGTAATATGTTAAATTTAGAAAAAATGTGAGTTATCTTTTCTTCTGTCCCTCTGTCTTGATTCTTCCCCAGCACAGGTGTGTGGAATATTTTAAAGTTTGTCTAAAGAAATAATTATTATAGGTAAACAGATATAAGTGTATTGAGTTGGGCAAGATGTTTTTCCAGTTCCACCTCAAATGTGAGAAAAAAATAGCAGTGTGAAGCTTTGATTATGAAGTCTGGGACATTCTTACTATAGGCAAATACTTTCAGAGTAGAGGGCCCATGAAGATTAATTTATGTTACAGAAACAAACTTTCTGATGATTCATAAACTGAATTTCTTAGTTCACTTTGTTATTTCTAAAGAAATTTGGTATGATTTGATATGTGACTACCCCCATGGTAACCAGATATAGCTTGCTCATGCATTTATCGTAATTGACGTCAAAGAAGTGATACTTCCTTGTTGCTCTAAATATCTTCCCTGGAGTCTAAGAACTTACTCTAATTGAGTCAATTGGCATCCTTCACGGATTTTTTTCTAACTTCAATTGCACTTAATCTTTCATTGTTACCCAAGAAGTCCTGCAGTAGGTAAAATAGAGTCATTCTGACGCAGTCACAGTCCTGGGCCGAAAGGGATGGTGGCCAGGCTCTCTAGCAACATATTATGCATTTATTTTCTTCATTGTGTTCCTATTCATGGAGGACATATAGTATTCAGGTGTTTTCTAAGTTCTTCACAAGCATTATTTGATTTCAATCTTGATACAACCCTGAAAAGTAGGCTTTATTGTCTTCATTTTACAAAGAAGGGAAACGAGTTTAAGAGAGATTAAATATAAAGTAAAATACAAGGCAAGGAATTAAACCTAAGTCCTTCAGATTCCAAGGCTTGGGTTTTATTCACTATGTCAAGTTGTCCCTGTGTTGCTATATTTTGGTTCTCATACTCTTTTTTTTTTCATTGTCTTTTGGGAAGAAATATAAATAATACCCATAAAAGCTAGCTTTCTGTTCTTTAAAGCAAGTCAAATGAATGGTTAATTTTTTTCTAAGTATTTATATAGAATTAACTTTATGTTTAAAATACAGAGAGATTCCGCATAGCAAAAGAAACTATCATTGGAGTGAACAGGAAACCTACAGAGTGGGAGAAAATTTTTGCTCTCTATCTATCTGATAAAGGTCTAGTATCTAGAATCTACAATGAACTTAAACAAATTTACAAGAAAAATTACCCATTAAAAAGTGGGCAAAAGACATGACAGATACTTCTCAAAAGAAGACATTCATGTGGCCAAGAAACATGATAAAAGCTCAACGTTCATGATCATTAGATAAATGCAAATCAAAATCACATTGAGATACCATCTCACGCCAGTCAGACTGGCAATTATTAAAAAGTCAAGAAACAACAGATGCTGGTGAGGTTGCAGAGAAATAGGAATACTTTCACACTGTTGGTAGGAGTGTACATTTGTTCAACCATTGTGGAAGATGGTGTGGTGATTCCTCAAAGATCTGGAACCAGAAATGCCATTTGACCCAGCAATCCCATTACTAGGTTTATACCTAAAGGAATATAAATGATTCTATTATAAAGATAGGACCTATAATCCCAGCTACTCAGGAGTCTGAGGCAGGAGAATCGCTTGAACCTGGGAGGTGGAGGTTGCAGTGAGCCAAGATCGCACCACTGCACTCCAGCCTGGGTGACAGAGCGAGACTCCTCAGGAAAAAAAAAAAAAAGATACATGCACACACGTATGTTCATTGCAGCACTATTCACAATAGCAAAGACATGAAATAAACCCAAATACCCATTAATGATAGACTGGATACAGAAAATGTGGTGCATATACACCAAGGAATACTATGCAGCCATAAAGTGGAATTAGATCATGTCCTTTGCAGGGACATGGATAGAGCTGGAAGCCATTATCCTCAGCAAACTAACACAGGAACAGAAAACCAAACACTGCGGCCGGGTGCAGTGGCTCACGCCTGTAATCCCAGCACTTTGGGAGGCCGAGGTGGACAGATCACGAGGTCAGGAGATCGAGACCATCCTGGCTAACACGGTGAAACGCAGTCTTTACTAAAAATACAAAAAAATTAGCCAGGCGTGGTGGCGGGCGCCTGTAGTCCCAGCTACTCGGGAGGCTGAGGCAGGAGAATGGCGTGAACCCAGGAGGCGGAGCTTGCAGTGAGCCAAGATAGCGCCACTGCAGTCCAGCCTGGGCAAAAGAACGAGACTCCGTCTCAAAAACAAATCAAAACAAAACAAAACAAACAAACCAAAAAAACCAAACACTGCATGTTCTCGTTTATAAGTGGGAGCTAAACAACAAGAACACATGGACACGGAGGGGAACAACACACACTGGGGCCTGTTGTGGGGTGGGGTTAGGGGAGGGAGAGCATTAGAAAAAATAGCTAATGCATTCTGGGCTTGATACCTACATGATGGGCTGACAGATGCAGCAAATCACCATGGCACACATTTACCTATGTAGCAAACCTGCACATACTGCAGATGTCCTGGAACTTAAAAATAAAATACATAAATATTCTCTTCTAAAGGTTTGCACTTCATAGGAAATTTTGTTTTGTTATAGAACATCAACACTATTCACCCAGTACATGGTATCATATTTAGTTTATCAGGAGTTACCTACAAGTTAGAGACATAAGAGGGTGAGATCTTGATTAAGAACATTGGATGCTTTTCTAAGGAGTCATCCTGGAAGCTATAGGGAACACTGAGTTCGAATTGGAGTTGGGTGGTCTAGGGGCATGGATCCCATTGAAGAGAGCTAGTTAAGAAATAATGAAGACTGAACTAAGGCTGACACAAGGATATATTGCAGAGAGTGAATACAAGAGGCTAAAGTCATGGAAACAACATGATTTCTAAATGCAAAGGAATTACATGTTTATGGCTTGATTAACTGGATTGGTGGTAAATGCCATTCACAAATGTAGGCAGTTTAACAGGAGGCCCAACTTGTATTTTGAAATAATTTAGAACCTATCTAGGAGGAGATATTTGGTAAAAAATTTAGTAATTTCAAGAGTGGTATAGGTTGAATAATTTTGAGGGTCATCAGTGTATAGATTAGACCTCTCTAAACTTCAAGGAATGCAGGCTCTTAAATATACATTTTCTTAAAAGAGTAATCTTTAACTCATAATCTGTAACTCAAAAATGATAGTTGGTTGATTGAAGCTATGGTTTTAATAAAGTCATTGGGAGAAGGAGGAGGAACAGAGGCGTAAACACAGTGAAGAGACGATAGGCCTGAGGATGAAAAACACAACACACACTTAGTTTTGGGATCCAAGGGAAGAAAAGTAACACAGGAAGCGACTGAAAAGGAGTGGCTAGAGAGATACAAGGAAAACTAGAGTGGAGTGTTGTCACAGAAGCCAGGGGTGGGAGTGTTTCAAGAATGATGATGAGATCAACATTGTCAGCCACCACAGAAAGGTCTATAAAGATCAACCCAAAACTTCAAAGGAATTTGGTGACATGGAGGTGATTGTTGATACCAGAAAGAAGAATAATGGAAGTGAAAACCAGATGGCAGTGGGAGTAAGAAGTGGAAGGGGAAGAGGACTTAGAAAGGATGTCAAGTTTAAGGAAGAGCTTTTTTTTTTTTTTTAAGTAAATGAGGCTGGAGCATATTTTATTCCAAGATTATAGAAGCATTGGAAAGGAAACTATTGATTGGAGAGAAAAGCCTGGAGGGATGATTGCTAGTGCATGGGTCTTGGGGATGTGGGAGGTGATCAGATGTAAATATTCAAGTAGTTTGTTGAGTTTTGGACAATAATTCTCAATTCTTAATTTTCCAGAGACAGGAAGGGAATCAGAATCATGGTGGCAGATAAAGATAAGCTCCTGCTTGCCACATAAGTACGTTGAGTCCTTGATATTGGAAGCTACATTGAGTTAGAATATTTTGCACTCCACTTCTTATGGTGTTCGGTTATTTTTCCGCTAGCAGTATACCATAGGCTGAGCATGGGGATGGAGGAGACTAATGATTAGAATGATTCAGTGATAAGGTTTTGTAATATAGGAATGACAGAAAAGCAAGGGGTAAGAAAGTTGTACATTATAGGGTGGAGCAAGAAAAAGATAAAGCCTCATTTGGTGAACAGAGTGTAGATTGGTATAAAAAAAACTGTAATTCCAAAATCAATTGCATTTCCATTGTCAATGAAAGAGCACAAGTTCTGTAAGATAGAAGATGTAGTCAAAGACTAGAATTTAAAATTTAACATCATGGATAATTTAAGGCCTCATTGTCCAATCTGGGAGAGTCACTGAAATGTAACTACTACAAATTGAGATATGCTATGATGTAAAATATACACCAGACTTTGGGCCCTTTGTATGACAAAAGGAATGTGAAATATTTTATTTATAATAATTTATGTTGATAACATGCTAAATTATGATATTTTGGTGATGTTAGGCTGTATTAATTTGCTAGAGCTGCTGTGGCAAAGTGCCAAAAACTGGGCAGCTTAAACAATAGAAATTTATCATCTTTACTGTTTTTGAGGCTGGGAAGTCCAAGACCGATCTGCTTCATGCTTCTTATCTAGCTTCTTGCAGCTTGCTGGCAATGGCATTCCTCGGCTTGTAGAAGCATCACCTCAATTTCTGCCTTCACCATCACATGGCCTCCCCCCTGTGTACCTGTCTCTGTCCAAATTCCCCTTGTTTTTAAGGGCACCAGTCATAATGGATTAGGAGTCTCCATTACACTCATATGATCTCATCCTACTTAACTCATTTTGTTTTCAATGACCCTGTTTGCAAAAAGGTCACATTTTGAGCTATTGAGGCAAGCTCAAAAGTCACATTTTGAGCTTAACATATGAATTAAAATTCATATGTTAAGACTTCAACATATGAATTAAAATTCATATGTTAAGACTTCAACATATGAATTTTTGGGGATACACTTCAACCCATGACATAGGCTACATAGGATATATTGGTAAAATTAATTTTACCTGTTTATTTTTAATTGTGACTACTAGAAACTTTAAGATTATGTATGTGGCTCACATTATATTTCTATAGTATGTGTGTCTTTTGAACAATACCTAACACTAATTGAGCCTTGGGTATATGCAGGCATTTTTCTAAGATCTTTATATATATGAAATTTTACAACAACCCTGTTCAGTTTACCTCTCATAGAGGGTAGACAGAGAATATCCAACGTCGCATAGACAGTAAGTAGCAGAGTTAGGATGCAAATGCAGGTGTTCTGACTCCTGAATCTGCACTCTGACTGGCTCTAGAATAGTACAGCTTTATGAAGAAACTAGTATATTTTGTCAGTCATGGGAATTTGAAAAATATTATTTCATCATATTACTTGGCACCAGGTATTTCTCTACTTGTTAATCTCCTCTTTTCATTTTCAGTTTTCTGTGATCTCTGCCTCAGTTTCTCTTGGTAGCCTTTTATTTCTTGCATTCGCATCCTTTACTAATCAATATCTATATTTTTCCTGTTACCCTTTGTAACAGGAAGATGTCTTATGTGCTTTATTTACTTATATATGTTTGATGGCAGAGCAATATATTTTTGTTATCTTAACCTGTCTTTTGTTTTAAAACCTTCCTAGCTATTATTAAAAAGCAACTCTTCTGTATTTGTGAAATTCTTTTAAAAAAATAACACCCAGTATACCTTTAAATACCATTTATTTTGTGACTGTGTACAGATACTCTGAAAAAGTCATGGCAAAAAGCACTGGAATGAGTTTTGGCAAAAATTTAAAATGTGCTGTTTATTAGGGAATAATAACTTAAAGACTGTTACTCAACATGAGAAAGATATTTTAAACCAAATTCATTGGGCAATGGTGGATTTAAATGATTGAAGTTCAGTGGAATACCAGGTTTTGTGCTCATAAAGCTGTGTGTTTATATGTTGAAATATGGCTGAATGGAAGAATTGAGAAACTTTGCTTTCATTTCCTGGCTTTACCACTTGTTGCATGACCTTGCCCTGGGATAGACAAAAGGAATCAAGACAAATTGAGTGGGAGGCTACATCTAGAAGAAGCTCTTTCAACAGGTACTTCAGGGACTCAAATTTTCTCCTGTGAGTTTAGTTCAATATCCTGTTTTTTTCTAACTGTTTTGTAGTGCCATCTTTGACCTCAGTATTTTTTATCTTGACTTTGAAACCTGTACTTGATTTCACCCTTACTGCCCCCGATTTTACCTTTGAATTTAACTTCTCTGTTTCTCACTTGGGCTTAGTGATGTGGTCTTGACTTTCATCAAGCTTTTCTTGGTCATTGTTTTATACCCTAACTCCATAAACTTGACACTTAAATATAGCTAAACTTCAGTTAATCTCCTCAGTATAGATCAGGGGGAAGAACCAGACACTGCCCCTCTTCCTGACAGTAGGACCCTCAAGTCCCTTTGTTACTAGCTACTTCATGAGAATTTATGACCTCATTACAATTTATTCTAAATGACTACAAATTTACGTAAGATAGTGTGAGGTCACTTTGAGAAAGGATTTCCTTATCCTACTACTACGTTATGTATTACTGAAATTTTTACATGAAAACTGAAGTCTAGTCAGTCATCCACATTTATTTGTATGTATCTGTGGGATGCCCACTTTGTCCTCTATGCTGATGTTTCTCAAACTTTAGCATACAAAAAAATCACCTGGAGATCTGGTTGTAATGCAGACTTCTGGGTCAGAGACTCTGATTCAGCATATCTGGGGGATCCACAAATTTGCACTTCTGACAAGTCCTCTGGTAACATTAATGGTGTTCTTCTGACACACTTTGGATAGCACTGATGCAGACCAAGATTCCAGGTGATCATTGGCCCAAATGACTGGGTAACATGTTGGTAGCAGGTAACACACAGGTCAACCTCATTCATTTCCTAAGGAAAAATAAAAATAAAGCAAGAATATTGTAGTTCTTTGGTTTCCAAATGCTGTATTAAACATACGTATATGAAAGAGGAGTGGCTAAACTCAGCAGTGGCTCTCATAAAAATGGTTTTCAAATCTGTAGCCCAGAAACCTTATATTAGGAAAAAAGATGGTTCAGGTTATTTGAAGCAAAGTACCCTAAAAATTGATCTTTCCCTAAAATATGCAACCTGTTATCTTTAACAAATATTCATTTTAAAGCCATTTTAAGGATTCCTGATTTGGAAAAGGAACCCTTCTTATGGTTGGATGAAAATATATATTTTTTTAACATTTAAGGAAATGTGTTTTTACTGTTTGTTGTTATATGTAAAATTTACAATGAAATAAATTTTGTGTTATGGTTATCAGTATAATTTATACATCAGAAAATTAAATATGATTATACTATATATATAGTTATCTACATTTAGATACCTATCCAAAATTGTTATGATTTTAAATAATTAAGAATATAAATTATATTTTTTAAATGACAAAATGAAATAAAGAACTGCAAATTCTTGATCTAACATAATGGTTTAATGGCTTTATTTTCTTCAGTCAATAAAATATTTAATGAGCACATACTGTTAGCCCAGCAAGCAGGTAGGTAATCTGATACATAAAAGACATAGAAAGGTTGATTCTACCTTAAATATATGCTTCTGGTATAGCATATAAAAAGTCCCAAATCTACTCTACAAGACAACATGATCTAGGTGTTTGGGAAAGGATATAAATGTGATCAGAAACAAGACTTCAAAGAGGTATAGAATTCATGAGAATGTGTGCATGTGTCTGTCACAGAGCATGGGTGGATGTATGTAAAAGTGGAGAAGAATTAGGAAGCTTCTGTAATTCAAGTTATCAGTCATCATCAGACACTTTGAAAATATTAACTTTATTTTAATCTTTTATAACATCCATAAAATCATTATTATCCATTAAAAATAAGATATTAAAACAAGGTAATGAAATAAAATATTTATAAGAGAAACAACTTGCTAAGGATAATATATATATGCGTGTGTGTGTGTGTGTGTGTGTGTGTGTGTGTGTGTGTGTGTGAAATACATACCTATGGCATTCATTCATGTAATATTTAAGGGCTTACCCTGTTTTTTTTGTGCAGGGTATACATGTGGCAAACATTAATAAATATAATGTGCACCTCTGTATAAATCAGCCATGAAAGATGCTGATTGCTTCATGGAAAAAGTGCATGGTGAAGTTCTATAGGTTAGCACTGTCATCGACAGCAGGTTTCACATTCCACGCTTGACCCTGTTATTAAACCGATGTTTCTTGTCGTTATTTAAAACAAAAAGTTATCTCTGAATGTTTTATTTAATAGAACCTTTTAGATTTACATTCTATGTGTAGTAGTGATGGCAATGGCCTTGCAGACCTCCAACTCCAGCAAGCTGACCTGACTGAGGGCCCAGGCCCAGAGCTCTGACATCATTTCTGCATTCCTCCTGAGGCCACACCTTTCCGTGCTGCCCCCTGTCGGGCATCTGTGATGTGGCAGGGATGCTAAGTCTGGCCTGTTCCTAGGAAAAACGGGACTTCCATGACTACTGACTTTGGCTCCAGGCTGCCCTTACAGTTTTGCTGAATCTTCTTTAGACTACACAGCAGACTAGAACCTTTCCTCTAACCCTCCCTTCCTCTCTCCTGCAGCCTGGGTCATGCCTGTAGCATGGTCTGAAAGCTCTGCCAGCATTTCCTGGCTCCCTCTCAATTTTCTTTCATTGGCACATCCCCTAATAACATTCTTGCAAATTAGTCATTCCCATCTTGGCATCTGTTTCCTAGAGGACTCTTTCTAACACACTGTATAAGGGACTATACAACTATCCTCTAAAGAAACATATACACTTAAGTAAATTTGAGGCCAATAATGAGAGCCTGTAATCCTGTTCTCTGATTGCAGAGTCAGTCATGAAATTTGAAAGGTAATTGCTGCTGCTGCTAAAGGAGCCTCCTCTGTGTTGCTTTCTTTAAATTGTTACTCACTCAGTGGTGATCCCTTTTTCTTAGAACTTCTTAATAAGATTATATACTAGTGTTGTATGCTAGTATGAAAAATACTTTAGCATACACAGTGCTATCCTGATTCCAGGATGCTTCCCTTTAGCCTTTTCATTCATTTATCAAACATTTATTACAAATTGATTTTATGTCAGGCATGATCCTAGACACTGGAGCACATGTGCAATGTGTTGGGCATAAAGATTTATTGGAAGAGTGGCACTGTTTATCTTTCCATGAAAAGCAAAATGATACTGTTTTTAATTGTATTAAGACAGGTTTTTTTTTTCCTGGAGTGGAGAAGTGAATTAAGTGCCATTTAAAAACTAAAGTAAAATATGAGATTGTCACTCTTACATCTTAAACAACAGAAAATTCAGCTGTATTTTTTGATATATATAAATTGATTCTTCTTGAAACAATGATCCATAAGGCCTTTTAAGTTTCAGATTACTTTTATTATTTTATTTTATAACATATTTATTGTAAAAAGTAGAAAGTATAGGCTCACAGAAACAAAAAAATTAGTAAATTTTCTATAACTCTGGCATCCAGAAATAGTTACTGTTAACTTTTTACTGTATAGTCTTACAGATTTTTTTGCCATAAAACATACATACACATGCATGCACACACACACGTACACTCAGATATATTACCACCATTGATTTTCTCATAAATTTATTGAGCATCTTTCCTGTGCCAGGCATTGTGTGTGAGGACTGTGGAGACAGAGCAAAAGGAAAACATCCTTCCCACTATGAGAATCAGTACAACTTGAGAATCAGTACAGTGCGGTATCAAGAGTGTGGACTCTGAATATGGGATGGCTGTGTCCCCACCCAAATCTCATCTTGAATTGTAGTTCCCATAATCCCCATGTGTCATGGGAGGGACCCAGTGGGAGGTAATCAAATAATGGGAGCGGTTACCCCCATGCCGCTGTTCTCATGGTAGTGAGTGAGTTCTCATGAGATTTGATGGTTTCATAAGGGGCTTTTCACCCTTTGCTTGGCACTTATCCTTCCTGCCACCGTGTGAAGAAGGACCTGTTTGCTTTCCCTTCTTCCATGGTTTTAAGTTTCCTGAGACCTCCCCAGCGCTGTGGAACTGTGAATCAACTAAACCCCTTTGCTTTATAAATTATCCAGTCTCAGGCAGTTCCTTATAGCAGTGTGAGAATGGACTAATACAACTCTTGAGTGAGGCCATTGGGTGACATCTTTCTCTGTTCTGTACCATCCTCTACATTGGATATACCACATTACACAGCTGGGACTGGTTTCACATCTTTAAAATGGAGTAATAACAATAACTACTACACACGTTTCTTGTGAATATACAAGCTCTTATTCAGCACAGTGTCCAGGCTATAGAAAGTGCTGAGCCATTGTTATTACTACACTACTAGTTGCCTCTTTCTGATATTACTTAGAGATCACTAACTGCCATGAAATTAATCAATTCTCAGTGCTATTCATTCTGGATTATGCTGAAAACTGCCCTTGTGACTGAAAACAGGACTTATATTTGCAATCCCAGTGTGTTGTTCCGTCCACAGCATGTTACGATGCAGAGAATGTCTATATTGATCAGCAGTCCCAGGGGCCTTTTGTTTACCTGAGTTATAGCATCTCTGTAGCATGACTGGATAAATCTTTTATGTGGCTGCCCTTCACCCCAGTGCCCTTCTCAAATGCATTTTAGTATACTCCACATGGCTTGTATTCTTCTGATCATCTCAAACATATCACCTACATTCCCAGGCAGTCAAAAGTCACCAGAAACTTAATTTATTGCTACTGATTACTATGTTCAAATTTATAAAATACATAGATTTTTTTAAAAATTTATTTTGAAATAATTGTAGACTCACAGGAAATTGTAGAAAATGGCACATAGAGTCCCATTATCCCTCTACACAACTTCCTTCAGTTGGTGACATTTCACACACTGTAGTGCAATACAAAACTGGAACATGGACAAGGGGACATACTCTGAACTGGACTGCAAATCTTATTCAGTATTTAACAATTTTCATGTGTACTTGTGTGTATGTATATGAAGTATGTATGTTATATAAACATACAATTTCATTGTATGTTTCAGTTTGTGTGATCATTACCAGAATGAAGATATAGTACTAATATATTACCTAAAAGGGACAGTGTCATCCTACCCTTCATCAATATACCCATCTCTCACTTGTGTCCATGTCTCCAACTACCAATCTGTTATTCATCTTTATAGTTTTGTCATTTCAAGAAGGTATACAAATAGAATCTTGTAGTATGTAACCTTATAGTATGTAAACTTGTAGTATATATTTTTTTCACAAAATATACTTCTTCATTCTGCCTTTATTTTATCTTTACTGTATACCAAGATCATCTTTGTTTAACTAGCTTTCTCATCTGTTTTCAATTGTTCTTTTATGTAGAAAAACAAAACAAAATGAAAACAAAACAAGATGAGTAAACTTTGAAGAAAAGTAAAATTTCCTGGAGAATATAAAATATACTTGAAGAAACTTAGTTTTCAACCTTTACTTAATTAACATCAATAAAACAATTTTAACCTGTCCCAGTTATCACTGACTACTCATATTAAGCTCCAGGGAAAGCAATTAGAAAAAGAACTGTGAACATCTGTGAAACAAAATTCCCATAAGTTTTTTTTTTTTTTTTTTTTTTAGCACAGAAGGCTAAAAACCATTTGTTCTCAACTGGGGGAAAAATCTTTTCTTAATTTTAATGAAATTATAAAATTTCATGGTGAAATTGAAAAGAGCTTTCACTTAAGTTGGTGCCTTCTATCCAGCAATTTTAAGCAAGACTTTCTCTTCAAAGTCATTATTAATATTGAGTATATTTCTAACATTGCTGAATATTCAGTAAGTCATTGATATAAATTCAAGTAATTCAAATGTCAGGCTGGGTTCTCAGTAGTGATTTATATTTGGCAAGAGTTTTATGAGAGTGCATTATTAGTTTGCTGACTGCCTTAATATATAAAGGTTATAAAAAGAGTTTCATCCAACAGTTATGAATTTCACCATACCACTAGGTAAATGTAAGTACCCCAAAAATGCATGTGGCTTTAAAACTTCTGTAGAAATGGTCAAAGAGCAATTCATCTCAAATTACAGACACATTTTTTTTTCTCATTAAAGGCACATGAGGTCTACTCACATTCTGAATAAAAACATATCTGATAAATATTTTGATAGTATTGTAGTTTTGAGATTCACATTAGTTTATTAATATTACCCTTTCCTAGTCTATCTCAGATATTTCTATTGATGACTCATGTTTAACTCTATGTGCACTTTGGTCACTTTGACTTATGAAAACATTTATGCTGGGCACGGTGGCTCATGACTGCAATCCCAGCATTTTGGGAGGCCAAGGCATGTGGATCACCTGAGGTTGGGAGTTCAAGACCTGCCTGACCAACATGGAGAAACCTCATCTCTACTAAAAATACAAAATTAGCTAGTGTGGTGGCACATGCCTGTAATCCCAGCTATTTGGGAGGCCGAGGCAGCAGAATTGCTTGAACCCGGGAGGCGGAGGTTGCAGTGAGCCAAGATCGTGCCATTGCACTCCAGCCTGGGCAACAAGAGCAAAACTCAGTCTCAAAAAAAAAAAAAAAAGATTTATAAAGATAAATGTTCTATATTAATTAAGGAAAATGTGCTGTGTTAATTAAGGAATTCTAAACATGTGTTTTCAAATGGCACACTCTCCTGATGACTGATAACAAATTATCTTCTCAGGAGACTAAGTCATGGAGAAGTAGGTTGCTTGTTGGACAATGAATTAAAGAGATTTGGATTTTTCTTAAGAAACTGGTTAAGGGAACTAGAAAGATACAGATTCCTTGCTCCTACTCTGGAGTTCTGAGTTAGGAGGTCTGGCCTCTAGAATATATTAATAGGCAGATCCAGGCTATTCCTATGCAATTCAGCAGAGAAACACTGCTTCAAATATTGTCTCTCCTTATCTGCAAATAGGTTCCAAGACTCCTAGTGGATGCCTGAAACCTCTGATAGTCCTGATCTCAATTGTCATCAATAAGAGCATGTTTCCATTTATGTTTTCCACCTACAAATCTAATGTCTTTTCCATCTTAAATAAGCGTTCACCATGCTCTGTGGCTATACCTTTTGTAAACTGAGGTGCACAAGCAAAACTGGCACTTTTTTTTCTTATTTACAATTTCATGAATGGAAGATTCATTCTCACTGTAGATCTTAGCAACCTCAGAATATGATTTTTATTTTTTTCTTATTAAGTGGGGAACTTTTACCTTTCAATTAAAGGAAGTACTTTATGGCTTCTCTTGGCATATTTAATCGCCAGCATTACTACTCTTTCACTTTGGAGCTATTATTATGTAAAATCAGGGTGACTTGAACACAACAAGCACTGTGATACCAGGACAGTGGATCTGATTACCCAGAGGGCTAAGCAACTAAACGCAGGTAGGATATACAGCACAAAGGGATGATTCATGCCTTGGGAGGGATGGAGTGAGATGCTGGGAGATTTCATCACACTACTCAGAATGCCAAGCAATTTAAAGCCTATATATTGTTTATTCTGGAATTTTCCATTTAATTTAGATTCCAGTTGACCGTGGTAACTGAAACCACAGAACTTGAAACTGCATGTAAGGAGGACCTACTATAGTTTGGTCAACTTAAAGGGAATTTCTACAGAGTATTGCTCATATTGATAACCTACAGGTCGTCACAGTTGATCGTTTACTTTAGGAATAAGCAGGCTTCCTAATTAATCCACCTTGGGGAGATCTTTTGACACAATGGTGGCATTCTGTCTCTGGCTAAAGAATATTATCTCAAATTCCTCAAATTGTTGACGTGCTGATCAACGTATAACCTGCTGACACTCAATAGGACACTGATTTATTTAAGAATATCTGAAGCATGAATTTCTACTCGTTGTCTTGCATGTAGACATTTTTCAGTTTGTCTGATGTCATCTGTAGCTAAGGACTGTAACTTCTGTATTGTATTCTCTAACAAAAAGATGACAACTCCAGTAATGAGGACTGCCTCTTCCACTTTTCAAACGTTCCTGTAAAAACCTTTCACCTTGTGACAGACTCCAAAACACCCCCAACTTTGTTGGTGTGTCTTTCCAGGTTGATCCTCACATTTGGCTTTTAATAAACCCTTATAAGATTATCTCCGCCCCCACAGCCTTAATTTCCATCAACAAACAATTGAACTCATGAACATAGAGAGTAGCAGGATGGTTACCAGAGCCTGGGAAGGGTAGTAGGGGTGTAGAGGGGAGATGAGGATGGTTAATGGGTACAAAAAATAGAAAGAATGAATAAGACCTGCTATATGATAGCAAAACAGGGTGCCTATGGTCAATAATAACTTAATGGTACATTTTAAAATAACTTAGAATGTAATTGGATTGTTTGTAACTCAAAAGATAAATGCTTGAGGGAATGGACACCCCATTCTCCATGAACAAAACAAAACAAAAACAAAAAAACATAATCAATCAAAGAATCCTTTTCCAGAACAATGTTGAGAACACTTTTCTTCTCCCTAGCTTCCCCCTCTTTCTCCCTTCCTCTTTGTCTAGTAGTTCCATCAGTTTCTAAGTTAAAACATCATAGGCAAGTTATGATTAATTAAATCACATCTTATATTAGACTTAGAATTTTTAACAGCTTTCAGGCATAATTAACATACAATTAACTGCACATAATTTGAATGTACAGTTTGATACATTTTGACCTATGTATAAGCAAGTAAAATCATCATCAATACCAAGATAGTGAACATATCCATTCAAAAAAAAATCTAAACCTAACAATTTTCTCGTGTCCCTTTGTCATTCTTCTCTCCTACCCATCTTCACATCCCTGCCCCCCATCTTCAGGTAACCATTGTTCTACTTCATATGTTAAATGCATCTCTAATGTGACTTAAGAAGGCATTACCAGCTACTGAGATTTTAGAGGCACCCATAGATTTCAGTTGGATATTTACCAGGGCAGTTTCACTTCCTAACATGAATATTGTTGGATTCCTGGTTCCATATCGGTGAATTCCTGGTTCCACACAGTGAGAATTAATATAAACTTTCTGTAGGGCAACACATGTTCCATGATGTTTAAAATTGCACATAGATCCAGAAATTCTACTTTGAAGAACACAGGCATGTGCTTAAATATACTTGTATGAAGACACTCATTACATTGACCACTGTATAATTTTTTTAAAAATGGAAAATTCACAAATATGCTTAAATAATGGATTCGGTAAGTAAATAGTTAGATACTTGCATAGTGGAATAATGATGAAATTATTTTGTGGATTATTGTTTACTATTGTAGAAAGATATTTATATCACTCATGAAACTCAGTCACTGAACACAGTATATTTATATAATATGAAATATTAAAACACATACATATATACATGCATACACGATGTCAGGAAGGATATACTTTATACACTGTCTCTGGTTAGTTGAATTGTGAGTATTTTAATATTTGACTTCATTTTTTAATAGTTTCTAATGTTTCTACGGTAACAATGTTTTGGAAACAAAATACTATTGCAAATTGTATTTACTGCAGTGCATTTAGCACAATGCCTGGCTCTTCACATTTACAGGGTAATTTCTTCTTTCTTTATTGCTTGGGTGTTTTTACCCTATTATTAAGGCTTAAGCCCAGGTGGGGCTTGGCCCATTTTTGCCATTGTTTCACCTCAGATAAACTCATACAGAGATAATCAACTATTTCCTTTATTATATTATCAAAGCATTGCTTATTGTTCTATAATTGTATCTGTAACACAGTATTGCAATAATTTTCTTATGTATTTTTCTCCTACTTTGGGACTGAAATCCAGTTAATGGAATCAATGTCTCTGATTTTTGCTTGCTTCAGAGTACTTAATAAATATTTATTGAGAGACCAGCAGATTAAATGAATGGTCTCCATGTATCAGGTACAAATAAGAAAGTGATCAAGTAAGTGACAATTTTTACATATAGATTTAGATTATTTCAGATTGTGTATGTTGAAGGTTGTATTCATTCTTTCATTTTAAAAATAAAATTAATGAACTTAAAAATAGTTTGCAGAATTTTGGCAAGATGGCTTGTAGAGTAACTGTTGTATGCTAGGACAATTCTTAGGGAAAATTCTGTGTGTGTTTGTGTGTGTGTACACATATGTATGTATACTAAAATTTGTGAACAATCTTAATCCTTCAAGATTGGAAAAGTTAGAAAATATATGGAACTAAATATAAGTTATAATTAGTTAAGTTGTATGTGTAATGTTATTCATATATGGTTGAAAGGGATTTTTAAATTAAATATATCACTTTTGTAATAAAAATAAGCTTAAATCATAAAATAAAATCTCAAAAGGCATTTAATCATATATAATCATATATCTCAAAAGATATTTAAAAATTAATAAAAGTCAAAACCAACAAATATTTTATACTAGGTAGACTTTATAATGTGTACTCTACTAAGTAGAGAACAAAATATAAGTTTTGATCTTTATCACTTGGTAGGATACACAATATCGATAAGAATATTACTAAGGATGAGTTCTAAAACAATAATAAACAAACAGTGCCCTATGTTTGACTTTGGGGGAAAAAATTCAAAATGCCTGTCAGCTAAAGATACATTTTTTAAAAATTATGGAGTCAATTGCCAAATGTAGATACCTGCTAGTCTGTCAGGAGAGACTGGTATCCGGTGTTCAACTCCCAGAGGAATCTCTCTTATGGGGTGAAAACAACTATGGAGTCTGTTAACTGAACAGCACAGCATTGTATCATTGACCAGAGCCCTGAATAAACAGAAGTCACAACAGAGGCGATGTGCGTATACCCAAGGATCCTTTTAGTGATCGTTGTGTCAGCTGAGAAATGCTTCCCATAGAGTCAGCCCCTCTGCTGTATTTTGCCCCTTCAAAATTCACCATACTTGCCTAATTCTCACTACTTTTACTAACTGGTTTGAAAGGCAATAAGGCCTTTTGTACTCTTTTTCCAAAAATAACAGAAACAGAGGCAGCGTGGAGTAATTAAGGCACTTACATTGACAGATGAATTTATTGTCCTATTTTCTACCTAGTTGCATGTGCTTTCTGTAGATGTAAAGTGTAAGTTTTTGGAATAGCCATATTGGCATCATGCATGACTGTCACCTAAAGCTGAATGGCAAGCAATGATTTACCAAATAAACTGCTATTCAAGAATGTATCCATCATGAGAATGGAAACAATGATTGCAGAGGTATAGATCTGGGAGTAAGGATGGGTATGTAAAATGGACCATAGCCTAATATTTGCCTAATTGTTACACAGCGTACTAGAGTAGGAGAACTATGTGTTGAGTGGGAATCAGATCTTCTTCAAAGACTTTAGCATAAAGTAAGATAAATGTGAGATGTTACAAATAATTTTTTAAAAAACAACAAAAATATGTGTAGCAGAGAAACTCCACTTCATGAAATCACATCAGTTGTTTGGTGAAGACCCAGATAAAAATCTCAAAACTTCTGTTAAGGCATTTCTGACTTTTTCATCCACGACCAATCCACGACTGGCCTAAAGCAAAATGAAATGCTCTCTTCTTTGAAGTATTAATTTTTGGATAATTTTAAAAATCACATAGTGTTTCTCCTGCTATACCAATTGTGTTTGTCCATGTGTTCAACAAATTACATAATGTTTGTCCATTTGTTCAACAAATATTTGTTGAGCATCTGTAATATTTTAGAAACAGTGCTGGGTGCTGGTGATAAAAGGCTAAACGATGAAGGCTGGCAATACAGTTTAGCAAAAAGGAACTCAGGGTTTGTAATGGGAGAGACCTGGGAACAATCCAGGCTCTACTTCTTATTGGCAGTGGGACATGGGAAAGTTACTAAATATATATGAGATACTCTTGTACTCCTCCTGCAGGTGCTGAGAAGCCATGGAATGTTTTAAGCAAGGACATGATACAACTAGATTTGCATTTGTGAATGATCATACTGGCAGGAGAAAGAAGATGGCTGAAAGAGTGAGACTGCAAGTAGGGAGACTCCTTAGTTGAGTGCTGTAATTAATAAGAGATGATGAAGACTTGTTTTAGGAAAGCTGCTGGGGTGAAGGGTCATCTCTTCGAAATGGAGTGATGAGAAGAGTAAAGGAAAGGGAGAAATCCAAGATGGTAGTCAGTGTATCTTGGGAAACTGGATGGATGCTGGTGCTATTAACCTAAAAGAAAAAGATTAGCCAGTAGATCTCAACTGGGGACAATTTTGCCTTCCATGTGACCTTTGGCAATGTCTCAAGATAATTTTAGTTGTCACAGCTCAGAGTGGGTTGCGGATTCTATGGCTATCTAATGGGTAGAGGCCAAGGGTGCTGTTTAGGATCCTACAGTACACACGACAGCCCTCACAACAAAAAAATTATCCCACCCAAAACATGGATATTGAGAGACCCTAGATTAGGAAAAGAGAAGTAGGATTTAGACATTTTGGTAGAGAAGTGAGATGCTAAACTCAAGTTTGGACATTTTCAATTTGAGGTACTCACTAAACCTGATAAAAAAAAATCCTGCCTAAGTTATATAACTTGTCACAGATCAAGTGGTAGAGGTCTGGCATCAACATGGAAATATTAGTGGCAGCCACACATCAAAGACCATGGATAGTATGTAAACAATATAGAAAGACTCAGTTACGCATACATGTAGAAAGTATGGTTCCTTTTAAAAATTTAAAAAAATACATTTGTTTGGAGTATTATTTGAACAGTGCTGTTTGTATAAAAAGGAATAGCAACATGAGTAATGCCTACTTTGGATATTTTCAAATATTATCTTATGAAATTGAGCAGTGCATTATGTTTTTATGTTTTAGAAAGCAACACAAAATACATTTCATTGTCTTCAAGAATTTCCTCTTTACAAAATATTTTTAACATATAAATACATATTAAAATATATACATATTTAAGTTTATGAGAGGCTGGAGTAGGGCAAGCACATTGAAAGGGAAAAAAATCAGATCTGAAAGCAAAACTTGATTTAGTTCCCACCTATCACAAGTTTATAGCACCTCATGCTTTTCAAAAATTCTTCCTAAAGGGTGAACAAGTCTATAGTTTATGTAATACTGATAAAATTCAATTGAAATATAATAGTAAATAGAAACATAACATTGGTGTTATGGCCTTAGCCATAGCACATTTCTTGTTTTCAAATTGGATTGTTTCATATTTTGGGGGAATTTTTTGGGGGGATAGAATAAGTTCATAATCATTCTTTTTCAAAGATCTGTTAGGTTCCAAGATTTAATTAATAAGGCCAACTAATTCACATAATTGATTCCAAAGTTAAAATTTTCAATCCAATTAGGCACCCAAATTGACCTTTCTTGTTTAATGCCATTTGAATTGCTATACTCAGCTTATGTTTAATTATAGTATCTATGTTTAATTATTGCATCTGAATCATGTTTAATGAGCTCCCTGTTTAATTACTGTTTCTGACTAATATAATTACTCTTAAGTAATCTCTGCCATTATTAGCTAAGCTTCCTAAGCTCTGTGGGGTCTGTCTGTCAGCCTGATTCTCCGGGCTCAACTTTCCTCCATCATCCCTCATATGTACTGTGTGCCAGACCCTGGATTCTCTTAGTGTCATTAATGTGCAAAGTTACTTCCTACCTCGGGGCCTTCACACTTGCTGATTCCTGCCTTCTGCTCTGATCTTTAGATCTCAGCTCATGACACTAGTGGCAGAAACAATTTCCTTGGTTTTCTAAAATACTTCGTGCCCCACTCCATTTTAGTGTTATCAGGCTATTGTGTAATTTTCCTTTATATCATGTACTGCATTTTTTTACTATTTGTAATCTGTGTTTTTTATTTTATGTCTCAAACTCTAGGTAGCAACTCAGCATCATGTACCCAGCAGCATTTGTTGAATAAGTAAATAAATATGAATGAATTAATGATTCAATCTGTCAATCACAAAAATTAAATATAGCCTTGTAATTGCCAGTACTTCATATATATGACTTTCTAAAGCCATTACATTCACACAGTGATTAAAAATACAAATGCATAGAAAAACCAGAAAATAACAAAAATGAGTATAGTGTCAGGTGCAAGCCAATAGGGAGCTTGGTGAGGATTTTCAGGGCAGTAGCGAAGTGCCCTTGGCATTTAGATTCAATACTTTTAATACTCTGGGGGCCAAAGCATAACAACATTAAGCTTGTGGGCCCTGTATGTTAGTTCTTGGAAGCTGGGAGCAGTGGCAGCCTTGGAATACTAATGCCAGGCAGATGGTTGGTTATGGTCACATAGCACAGCTCTGCTTACATGTCCCTAAGCCAAAGACCAAAATGTGCCTATGAATATTCAAGGATATTTATTATGCTCTTTCTAAGATATACCATTCATTTAAATAGTGTTAAGTTACAATATATGTGAAAATAGAACAAATCTAGGAGTAGTCCCTTTCAAGGAATCTAAGTAGAAATTTATACTTAAGATCCAAAACAAATTTGGGTCTAGCAGCCTCGAGATGTTTATCAAAGACTTAGGTAGTACTATATGGTGCCATTTCCAATTACCACCTGTCCCCCACCGCCTCCACCATGATCGCCACCTCCTGGTATTCACACCTCTGTGTAACACCCTCCACTTGAGTGTAGGCTGGACTTAATTGACTCAGTTCTGAGAGAAGCTGTCATGTGTTGAGTGTGGAAATAGATGAAGACTACCTAAATCAGAACAAACAAAGCCTCTTTATTCAGAGCTTGCTACAGCAAGGTAGTCAGTCATCATTGCTTGAGTTTGGCAGAGAATCAAAGGCAGGCAGAGGAATAGAGAAGCTTAATAGAGGAAAAAAAGAAAGGCTTCAGGTTGTTAGAGGCTGTTGGCATGGGGAAACTGTCAAAAGAATAAATAGAAGCAGGGCATCATATGTGGTTGGTTAGGGGAAACATGTTTGGGTTTGTCTAGCTGGCTCTACATTGGAAACAGCAAACAAAAAATTGGAGGTTATCAGTTATTGATTAAGTTTTGGCCATTTGGGGCTGATTGCTACAGAGGCTGTGGTTTGACTTCCTGGATGGTTTGCTGCAGAGGTTATGGTTTGGCTTTCCAAACTGGTTGTGGCAGCTTGTGGGTCAGAGTTTTATTTTTATGTATGGTCTGCCCATTGTCTAAATATTGAGTCTCTTATGAGGCACCCTGTGGAGTGGCCCACATAAGTGAGCCTGGAAGCAAATATCTGAGGCCTGCCAATAATCACATGATTGAGCTTGGAAGCAGATCCTCACCCAGTGAAGCTTGGAGATGACTGCATTCCCGGCAGATTCCCTGAACATAACCTTGTAGAAGATCCTCAGCTGAGACTCTTCCTGTAAGTTACTGTCTGATTTCTGACAAATAGAATCTATGCAATAATAAATATTTGTTGTCATCAACCACTAAATTTTGGGATCATCTGTTTGCAGCAATAGTTAACTAATACAGATGGGAAGGATATGGTCTTTTGTTAATCAGATCACCAGGAAATTTAGCTCAAGGATTTCAGGTAGGTTTATCTGGAAGGCATAGACAATTGTAGTATTTCTCAGAAGGGACCATTTCTATCTCAGAAATACAAAATCTAAGTCAGAAAGTTAAGTCACTACTCCTTCTTAAACCTTCTCCTCCTTCTCTATTATTTTATTTAATGAAATCATTTACCCCACCCACTGGCTAAAAAAATCTCTAGTCTTCTTTGATTTTTGAACCAAATATTTAGTATCTACTATGTACAAGGCAATGTGCTGTCACTTAGAATGGAACACAATTACTTGCTCTTGTGGAGCTTACATTCTTTTGAGAAAAAAATATAAAAGAAATAATAAACATATTACTTGTGTGTGGAATAAGGGCAGATTCTACATCCTTGCAGGGGTAGAATAGGCTTTGTTGATACACACTGTAAGGCAAGGGTCACCGAGAGAAGTATGGGTCCCCTGATTCTTCCACAGTCTGGCAGGGCCTTCTGCTGGCCATGCAGTGGATCTGGGTTGCGGTGAAGGGACATCACCCTCTGTTGCTTTTCTTTCTTACTGTGATGGCATGTGGACAACTTTGCTGGCTGTTGGAATGACTATTTGAGCAGAATATCTGGGCAGCATTTTAGAATTGTTTTTTGAAAAAGCCAGATGTTCGATACCTGGTAACCCTGGGAATTTTCAGGCCCTCATTCCAGGAGAAGATGCCCCTGGGCATGTGGATTTCCATGGGGCCTGAGTTCAGGTGCAGCCCCTCCAGCCAGGATTGGGGGCAGGTTCCTCTGTCCCTCATCAAGAACTCTTAGGTTTACTTTCTGGCAATTATGCTTGTTGCATTGCCATAATAAATAAGTCATTTATGCAATGCATTATGTGATAAGTACTGTGGGGAAAAAAAAGTAGAACCTTCTACATAGGGCTTGAGAGTGGGTTATATTAAATAGATCTACTGGAGAAAACCTCATTGAGAAGGTGACATTGGCACAGAGAATTGAAAGAGGCCATGAGGACATCTAGGGAAGAATATTCCTGAGAGTTGGGGGAAAGTCTGTAAGTCAAGAATGTCCTTGGTGTGTTTAAAGGACTGTAAGGAAGCCAGCATAGCCAGACTGGAATCAGAGAAAGTGAGAGAATTAGGAGAGGAAGTGAGAGAAGCAACGAGGGGTCAGATCATTCAGGGCCCTGTGGGACTTTTTAAGAACGCTATTGTTACTTCAAGTGGAGTGGGGAACAGTCATAAAGTTGTCAGCAATGAACTGGCACGGTCTTATGTCTTAGAAATTTCATTAAACTGCTGTTTTGAGCACAGTCTAGACATGTCTAGAGTTCAGACAAGAGATCTAGGCTGGAGATACACAATTGGGAGTCATTGGCTCACATATGGTATTTAAAGCTATGAGATTGGATGAGATCATCAAAAAGTGAGTGAAACAGAGGGAAGAAGAGAACTGAGGCAGGAGCCCTGGGACCTTTTCAATTAGAAGGATGGAGGAAGAGAAGGAAACAGCCAAAGAGGCTGAGAAAAACATGACCAGTAAGGTTGGCAGAAGGAAGACCAAGAAAGTAGAGTATATTGGAAATCAAGTAAAGAAAATGTATTAAGGAGGAGGGAATGAGAGACCGCCAAATGTTGCTGACATGTCACCTATGATGAGGACTGAAATTCACCAACTGATTTGGCAATCAAATGGAAGTCACTGGTGAAGTTTGCAGGATTAATTTGGTGAAGTAGAGGTGACATCTTGATAAAAGTCAGTTTTATAGAGAATTGGAAAGAGAATTGGAGAGAATGATAATGTATAAATCTTGAGTAATTTTGATACAAAGAGCTGCAGAAAATTGGGGCAGTAAAAGTATGAGAAGAATTTTTCCCCTTATGATCTAAGTAATAAATCTCTTAACTGGTGCGAACATTTAGATATCTAATCTTGTTCCCTCATTCAGTTTTATCTTTTAATATTATTTTCTTCCATCTCCTATTGTTATTACCCCAGGGATTTTCATTTGGTTCTGTATTGTTTCTCACCTGGACTATTACCCTAGTATCTTGCTGTGCTCATTATTACCATATTACCATCTCACTACTCCCATAGTATCTTCCTGCTTCCAAGGAATGCTCCATTACTCCTGCTGGCACTCTCTCCAAAACATATACTACCTGTGATGTCATTACTCTTTCAAGCTTAAGTCATCCAATGACTTTCCAAACACAGCTTGGCTACAGCTGCTATGCATGCTGGAATTCCAGCAAAACAGAGAGAGATGGATAAATCAGAGCTGTGAGAGGAAACTGGAACTAGATTTTGTGTAAGGCTAGCCTGCAAGATGGGGAAGGCAGCTACAGCTACTGTTGCCTCACTTACAATGTCTAAGAGGTTGTGGGGAGGAGAGATCTTAATCAAGATCTTCTAGTAGTGGAAGGCTTGATTTTCTAGGTAAGAATACAAACGTTCTTGACTTATTCTCTCCAGTACTTAGTTCAGTATGGTTATATTCAATATTGGATTTGCGGCCACAGACAATTGTAAAGACCCATATTTGGGGGAACATAAGATTCCTAATATTTTGCCAGGTTTAGTTCTCATTATTTCAGTTTTTAGTTACATATGGAAGGTTTTCAGGTCAAGCATTACATGACATTTATTTCCTCACTCCGTGTACATACCAATATATGCTTGTCCATGTTGTGAGTATACCTACATTTTGCTGTATAAATATATGTGCTTATTATTCTTATATTTTAGCCTCTTTTTTCCCCCTGAATTTGAAACTGATTTTGTTTCTTTGCTTTTCTTTTTAGAGACAGGGTCTCACTCTCTCATTCAGGCTGGAGTGCAGTGGCATGTTCAAAGCTCACTGTAACTTCATATTCCTAGGCTCAAGTGATCCCCCTGCCTCAGCCTCTCGAGTAGCTAGGACTACAGGTGTGAGCCACCACACCTGGCTAATTAAAAACATTTTTTTTTTTGTAAAGACTGGGTCTCACTATGTTGCCAAGGATGGTCTCTAACTCCTGGCCTGAAGCAGTCTTCCCACATCAGCCTCCTGAGTTGTTGGGATTACAGGCATTAGTCATAGCTTCCAGCCCTATTTTGTTTCAAATAATGAAAAACCATTAAATTTGTTGATGCCAAGTTATAGCTGCTTCAATTACATTAATTTTTAACTTTAAAATAAATTTTAACAGATGGGGTCTTGCAATGTTTCCCAGGCCGGCCTTGCACTCGTGGGTTCGAAGGATCTTCTTGCCTCAGCCTCCTGAGTATCTGGGTCCACAGGTGCATGCCACCATGCTTAGCTCTACAATAACATCTTTGACCATTACTGATTCCAGATATATTTTTTGTGCACTTACTCTGAACCAGGTCCTGATTATACAATCACTATAATATAATGAAAGATACTTTAGTTTTTAAGGAATTGGATGTCTTGATATCAGAGATGACTTGCAGCAATAATGTCACATTTTGAAAATCAGTGTTGCACAATACAGTATATAACTCTATGACTTTTTATAACATATGGTGACATTTGCAAAGATTGTAGCACACTTCAGGCAGGTTAATTACGCTAGGAGGGATCAGATGTTCCTGATTACATGCTGATTGCTCAGCTCCTGTTCCAGCCAGAGGGAAAGCGCTCAGAAGCTTCCTGCGTATTCATGTGACTCACCTCTGTGAGGAGTCCCTGCTTGCATGATCATTTATCTAAAGCATTTATCCCTTAGCAGTGGATTTGTCCCTTGTGTTTTGTCCTCCACACATCACCTCCATGACTGTCTATTTGAGAAGTGTTTAATTTTTCTGTTTTGAGTTTTATTTTGGATTACTTACTGCTCTTAGAGGCAAATTGCTATCTGATTTTACTTTTTCAAATACTAAATGATGGCGTTTTTCTAAATTTATACTCTGTAAACAGATCCATTCATTCTGTATATACATGGCCTGCATCACTAGACATTTTATATACATTTTTTTTGAAACCAGGACCTAATATTCCATGCTCTGCGTTGAGATTAAGGTCTGCATGTTGCTTACAGTTTATGATACCAGAGACATACACTATTTAGTACTTTTCATTTTTTCACTGTTTGAACTTCACATTAGCTCACTATCCAAAGATGATACTAAACTGGGACCATTAACCACAAGCTTTGCTTATACTCCTTTACCTGTGGATCCTCTAAGATGCAAATCACATGCTTGCTATGATGGATGGACATTTTCTGAAACTGAGCTGGAAGCTTCCCACTTCATTCTCATATTATGCATGTAGTTAATTGGTATTTTGATTGAACCATCAGAAGAATAAAAATGCCTATGAATTAAAGGAAATTATTCTCATTAGATATGAAACAAAGAAAGCAGTGGTTTCAAGAACAAATATTATTCAAAAATATTCTCATTAAAAGAAATTGCTCTCTTTGGTATAATAAAAATCTAAAGAGAAGCATCTGGCAGAATCATATAACTTACTGTAGCATAACATTTGGGATGAATTAAGTTGCTTCATGCTACAAAATGCTTTCAAGGCTTCTCCGTATTTTTTCTTCATTTTAGCTTATCTATGGCTCACACTTCTCCAATTAGGTCATTTTATACTTAGTACTTCTTTATGTGTATCAGATTATGACTATCATATAGAAATTACGGTCCCTTGAAGGCTAGAAATATTGCTAACTGGAATGAGTTCAAGCCCATGTGTGGAATGTGAAAGTTTTTCTGTGCTGGATTTACCTGTGTAATATTCCATAGTGATAGTTAGGCAGGTTGAACTACAAGTGGTAAGACAAATAAGCTGTGGATGTGGGCATTCAGGAAAAGCCAGTCTTTTTTTTTTCTTTTGAGACGGAGTCTCGCTCTGTCGCCCAGGCTGGAGTCCAGTGGCGCCATCTCGGCTCACTGCAAGCTCCGCCTCCCAGGTTCATGCCATTCTCCTGCCTCAGCCTCCCAAGTAGCTGAGACTGCAGGCGCCCACCACCACACCCCGCTAATTTTTTGTATTTTTTTTAGTAGAGATGGGGTTTCACCGTGTTAGCCAGGATGGTCTCCATCTCCTGACCTCGTGATCTGCTGGTCTCAGCCTCCCAAAGTGCTGGGATTACAGGCATGAGCCAAGGCGCCTGGCCAAAGACAGTCATTTGAGTTCAGGTGTTAGATACCCACCCTTGGGCAAACCTATGATCACCCAATATTTGAGCACAGTCGAGTGGATGTATGCCATTAGACAAGTACTAACATTAAATTAGTCAATGGATCTTAGAGTTGGAAGGAATTTTCAGTGCCATCTCATTCTCTAATCTCTTTACCATCTCAGATCTGTTATGTAAGTGACTTCTTTAACACGATGCTCACTACTTTTTCAAAGAAGCCCATTCTATTTTCATATATGCCCTCTTATTGTCTTCATATTTGGTTCTGTATCTAGAAAATCCTGAGTCCATCTTCTATATAAGGGCCTTTAAACTTCTGAAGGCCACTTCCACATATGTCTTGGGACATGCATAACATTGGTAGGGACTGTAAGAGGAATTAGAGCATGACACCATGATCTCTCAAGAGAATGAGTTGGAATAATGGTTAACAGTATGAGTTTTAGACCAAACAAAAGGTCTAGAACTCCAACTTCAATACATATAAGCTGTGAGACACTATTTTAAAAACATCTTTAAATGTGGATATTTCAAATAATTTAATTATTTTCCTCAGATTTATTGATCTAGTCTTATGCCAATACCATGTAGCTTGTGTCTCATATAGTACTTCAGTATCTAGGAAGGTTAGCCCCTTTTAGCATTTGTCTTTTGAGGGAATATTCTTAAATATTTGATTAAAACAAAACAATTTTAATTGAAATTGCATTTCATTTACATATTAGTTTTAGGAGACTTGACATTTTTGTGGTGTTAAATATTTCAATTCAATATGATATGTCTTTCATTTTATTCAGATCCTGCTTTATATCACTTAATAATTTTTAAATAGTTTTTAAAAGTAAATTCTATATTTCTTACTCATTTAATTCTAAGCATTGTAGCATTTTATACCTATTATGCATAAAGTATATTTTTGTTTTTCTACTTTAGATGGCTAATGCTACTTTAGATAAATGCTAGTTTATTTTAACTTATCTCTTTATCTTATTTCTACCACATTTCCAACATATCTTAGTTTTTATTCCACAGCCTTTTGGAATTTTTTAGGTATAGAATCACATAATTAAAATATTATTTCTTTTTTTAATTCACTTGAATAGATTAGCCAAAACAATTTTGAATGTAAATAGTGATGATAGATACTGTTGTTTTGTTTCTGATTTACAAGAAATGGCTGTAGCATTTCACCATAGAGAATTATGTTTGCTGCTTGTTTTTGAGAACTGGTCTGTCTTATTAAAGTTCTTCTATTGCTGACTTAGAGTTTTGATAACTTACAGTGGTGGAATTTTATCAACTGTCTTTTTGCATTTATGATGTGATCATGTTGATTGTGGTATTAAATTTCTTTTTGTTTAACCATCCTTACTCCTTCGAATAAATATTTGCTCCTAATGTATCACTTATCTTGCATAATGCTGGATCTAGTCACCATTTAACTATATTAACTGACAGTGGCTAGATACATATGTATGTGTGTGTGGGTATGTGTGTAATGCACATTTATATATGCCTTCTCTTTTATTTAATTACATATTACCCCCTTCATAATGATTCCTTTTAATTTAAGCTAAAACTATAGTAGTTTTGTAAAAGGAGGAAGCATGGATGATACAGTTGAGTGAAGTCAGCTTGGCCTCAACCAAATTCCCAAAGTTACTGGTGAGTTCGAGCTGCAGCTGTCAGACTGCTAGATGCAACTTGAAACTCCAGAGGGGTGGGAAGCATGGCATGATTCTGTGATGCACTGGGGATCAATCGCCAGTCTCTCCCCCATATCTCCCTAACATCAAACCAACATTGCCATTGTTGAGGAGTCTGAATGTATGACCAAAGCACACAGCATTCCTGATTCCTGCTCAGTCAGGTCCTCCAGCTTTAGGTTCAGGTCTGGGTGGGAGAGTATGCCTGGAACCTGCAGATAGTAGGGCACATGCCCAGTGATTCATGTGGAGTTGAGTTGGTCCTGGTGTGGTCTAAATCTGTCCCACAGAAGAATTCATTGCCATGATGCCTAGAGAACTAGGCAATCTCATCTCCTCCAGTGAGGCTCTGGACCCTGCAGCAGTGTTGTGTGCTGCAGCAAAGACTGTGGAACTCAGTACCATGGATGTATTTTCTTCTTTGTTCTATTTTCTCTTTCATAATATTGCTTTGGTCAGTTTTTGTTGTTAATATTTCATGTCTTTATTGAATGAGCTATAATGGCTGCCACATATTTCTGTTGTCAAGAATAGAAATATCTGGTATTTCAATATTAGATAAGAACAAATATGTATGAGGTCTCCTGGTTGGATCCTGTCTTCCTTTTCCTTTTCTGCATGAACCTATGTCTGAATCCAGATTCTGCCACCTTTGAATTCATGTCACCACATACAGTGGTGTTGTTTGAGCACTGCGCAAAGTAGGGAATGGGAGCCACATCCAGCTGGGGCTTTGCTCTTCAAATCCTTGCCTCTGGGACAGATGTGCACATGCGTGTTTCTGTTTCACACAAAAGCTACAGTATCAGCTAGCAGCACATAGCATTGAAATGTAGTGAAAGTATGCAGGCCCTTTTATCTCTCTTAGCCTGTTTCCTCACCTGCTAAATGAATTTGTGGTATTGCAAATTCTTAACCCAAATTCTCAAATGCATGTATTACAGTTGCTGGAATATTTGACATTATGTTATTATATGTGTCATTTAGTGATGATCTTTTTGTTGTTATTTACACTTTAGAAGAATCTTGTATCCTATTGTTTCCTATGTTATTTCTACCTCTTTTGATGTATATTCTCTAAAAAATTATTTTTTAATCTCTAAAAAAAAGAAAGATACTAGAATGTCAGGAGAACGAATTTCTCTTGTCAAATATAAAAATAATTCCAGACTATCATAACAATGTAAAAGTCCAGTTGGTTCTTATTAATCATTAACTTATTGTTTGTGCAAAAACCTTTAGCACCCTGAGAATCCTAATATAAGCAATAAAATAGGAAATATTTAATAAATATAACTTAATCATTGTTCTATATCTTTGTAAATGAATTCAGTAATTGCAGTGGCATTTTCTAACAAGGAGAATTCAACCAATCCATTTTTATAAAGTGAAAATAGGCATCAGGGTAAAATAGCACACGTTGATTAACTACTTAATACACCATTGGCTTTACAAGGCCTAACAGAGGAGTACTTTCAAATGACAGTGCTTAAATAAAAAAAATATTGTGCAATCCTGCATAGTAATTACAAATGCATTAGGAAACTCGACAGCTGTGCATGGAATGCAGACCAGAAAAGATCATGAAATATGGTTCTAATATAATCATTAGAATGTGGTTACATTGTATGAAGGGTTGAGTTGTATTACTGTGCCCCCCCGACATTAACTGATAGTCATATGTGGATGGTATAGAGTATGTGCATTACGAGCACACTGCAAACAAGAGTGAGACAAAACATGATTGTTTCAGAGAACAATGGTACAATTCTGAATGAATTAACAGTGATTGCAGGGAACAATGTGAAGTGAGTTAGAATATGATTTCAATTCCTAGACAAATTGGAGAAACCCCTCCACAATAGAATAGTACATTGCTAAGGGTTGATCAGGGGATGGTTAACAGACACTAATTTAAAGCGGGAACTTTGGCCAGAATCAATATTTCAACAGCTCTGCTTGTTAATTAACATATCCTCCAATGACCTTCTAAGAGAAATCTCATTATGTCAACTACAGGAAGAGCTAGGGAAATAGTTAGTAGCACTTTACTGAGACGATAACAGCTGAAATGGCAGGGTAGAACTTAGGAAAGAGGTATATCAAAACTGAAAGAAAGGTGATTTTTTATAAGGGGCAAGTTAGGTCAAAGAAGGAGGTTATTCACTATGTCTATATTCTGTATTAATTGTCCATAGAAGTAAACTTTCCATCAAAACCACAACTAAAATTTCCCTTTAAGACCAGCCATTCTCACTGAGGCTCAAAATTCTATAGTTACCCTAAGCCCATTTGATTGAAAGAGATGTATTTGCTTGTGTATGTGTTTGAAGGTGAGAGTCTCACATGGACTTTTGCTATTAATACATTGCTTGAATATCTAAATTATGATTTTTGTCACTAATTCATCCTAAGCCTGGCTTGCTAAGATCTCAAAACATCGCACATGTCAATTGTATTATTGGACACTGAGTGAACCCAAAGGAAAGGTAGAACTAGAATAGTCTAGATTAGAATGGCCTTCCGTGGAGAACTGGGATATAAGCTAGTGGTTTTGTAGAGACTATGAGGAGAGATTGATCTGATGGAAGTAGAAGCATATGTTGCCCATTGCTGAGTGATACAAGGGGACCCTAGATACAGAGCTTTAAATGCCAGGATACAATTTTCCTTTGCTCTCTGATAATAGAGAAACATTCTGTATTTTGAGGAGTGAAGGTACATAGCAGTGTTTGGCAATTGTTAATCTATTGGTGTTCTATTTGGATTAGAACTAGGAGAGAATTCAGTGTTGAGTCTACTGCGATAAACAGGGACACGAATGTATAGACCAGGGTAGTGGCTATAATATAAAATATCATAAATCTGACAGAATGGTCTGAACCAGGAGAAAAATTAAAAGACATTCTTAATGTTAGTGTGGGATTAGGCAGGTCTGGGAGATAAAAATCAGAAAGGGAGTTCATTTTGGGAGATTAAAGCAAAACAAAATCTTACCACAGAAAGAAAACAATATATTCTTTCTAATAAAGAAAATCCATGATTTTTCAACTGGAAACGCTGGTGGCTGCAACACCTCCAGCTGTCTACCACCAATCATTGTGTTTCCTCCTCTGATCTGCTTCAGTCTATAAATTGGAATACTCAGAAGCTCATGTTTTGTCAGTTGCTGAGGGCGGGGCATAAACTGTACAGTTTAACAGAGGAATGTGAAATAATTTCTGGGGCTGTCCTTAGTCTGAGAGCGGCTTCAGCATTACTGTCTCTCTTAGGCTGCAGACAGTTCTGAAAACTGAACTAACTTCACATGAAATTGCCAAAATATTGCCTTCTGTAATAAAACTGATAGAATTAAAAATAAAAACTACATACTTCCTTTATTCTCCTATAGCAAAAGGATGCAGAAAGGCAACTTGTATGACAGCTAGTGTTCCTATCATTGGTTTTACTCTTCATGTTTGACATTGGTAAACAATAGGATTTCAAGAAGTAATCACAAAGGATAGATTTATTTTAGGCATTCAATGAACTTTGCCTTTGATGTGTAGGCATAATTAGTGTATTGGGCCCCAGTTAGCCTTAATTAAATTGATTAACATGAGTAACATTTGCCTTGGTTGATATAATGAACATAAGCGTAAGGATTTTTTTCATTTAGCTTATTTTTCACACCTACTAGTTTCATGTCTAAAAGTTCATAGTAAAGTTTAGTAATATGTTTTAGAGTTATGCAAAGTAGTGGGAATAGTCTTGATACTTGAGAAATCCTGTGTTTAGAGCTGCAACATATTGAATCAAAGAATCTGTGAATGGGAGTTCATTCATGATTTGGCTCTCTGCTTGCCTATTGTTGGTGTAAAGGAATGCTTGTGATTTTTGCACGTCGATTTTGTATCCTGAGACTTTGCTGAAATTCCTTATCAGTTCAAGAATTTTTGGGGCTGAGATTATGGGGTTTTCTAAATACCTAGGAATATAGATAACAAGGGATGTGAAGGACCTCTTCAAGGAGAACTACAAACCACTGCTCAAGGAAATAAGAGGACACAAACAAATGGAAAAACCTTCCATGCTAATGGATAGGAAGAATCAATATTGTGGAAATGGCCATACTGTCCAAAGTAATTTATAGATTCAATGCTATTCCCATCAAACTACCATTAACATTCTTCACAGAATTAGAAAAAATATTTTAAATTTTATATGAAATCAAAGAAGACCCTGTATAGCCAAGACAATCTGAAGCAAAAAAAAAAAAAAAAAAAAAAAAACGAAACTGGAGGCATCACGCTACCAGACTTCAAACTATAGTGCAAGGTTACAGTAACAAAAACAGCATAGTACTGGTATCAAAACAGACATAGAGACCAAGGGAACAGAACAGAGATCTCAGAGATAACACCTCACATCTACAACCATCTGATCTTCAACAAACCTGACAAAAACAAGCAATGGGGAAAGGATGTCCTATTCAGTAAATGGTGCTGGGAAAACTGGCTAGCCATATGCAGAAAACTGAAACTGGACCACTTCCTTACACCTTATACAAAAACTAACTCAAGATGCATTACAGACTTAAATGTAAAGCCCAAAACCATAAAAACCCTAGTTGAAAACCTAGGCAATATGATTCAAGACATAGGTGTGGGCAAGGAATCCATGACCAAAATGCCAAAAGCAATTGCAACAAAAGCAAAAATTGAAAAATGGGATCTAATTAAAGAGCTTCTGCATAGCAAAAGAAACTATCATCAGAGTGAACAGGCAACCTACAGAATGGGAGAAAATTTTTGCAATCTACCTATCTGACAGAGGTCTAATGTCCAGAATTTACAAGGAACTTAAACAATGTTACAAGAAGAAAGCAACCCCATCAAAAAGTGGGCAAAGGATATGAACAGGCACTTCTCAAAAGAAGGCATTTACACGGTCAACAAACATATGAAGAAAAGCTCAACATTACTGATCATCAGAGAAATGCAAATCAAAACCACAATGACATACTATCTCTCTGTAGTCAGAATGATGATTATTAAAGTCAGGACACAATAGATGCTGGTGAGGCTGAGAAGAAATTGGAATGCTTTTACACTGTTGATGGAAATGTAAATTAGTTCAACCATGTGGAAGACAGTGTGGCGATTTCTCAAGGATCTAAAACCAGAAATACCATTTGCCCTAGCAATCCCATTACTGGGTATATACCCAAGGGAATATAAATCATTCTACTATAAAGACACATGCATACGTATGTTTATTGCAGCACTATTTACAATAGCAAAGACATGGAACTAACCCAAATGCCCATCAATGAGAGCACGGATAAGGCAAGTGTGGTACAAATATACCATGGAATACTATTCAGTCATAAAAAGGAATCAAATCATGTCATTTGCAGGGACACGGATGAAGCTGGAAGCCATCATCCTCAGCAAACTAACACAGGAACAGAAAACCAAAGTGCATGTTCTCATTCGTAAGTGGGAGTTGAACAATGAGAACACATGGATACGGGGATGGGAACAACACACACCAGGGCCTGTTGGGGGTTAGGGGGTGAGGGGAGGGAACTTAGAGGATGGGCCAATAGGTACAGCAAACCAGCATGGCACGCATATACCTGTGTAACAAACCTGCAGGTTCTGCACATGTATCCTGTGGTTTTATTTTTTTTAGAAGAAATGAGGGAAAAAAAGAAACAACAACAACAACAAAACCATCACACTAAGCAAAAAGAGACTGACATGAAAGAAAAAATAAGAATCTGTAACCTGTCCCCTCCCTGCCTAAAGGAATTATATATAACATTTAAAAAATTTAGTTATTCTAGTGACTAAATATTATTTTGTGACTGATTATCTTTTCTGAACATCTATACTAACCATCGATGACATAACAACTGGTTGTTCACTTTGTGCTTCATAGTTTGTGCTATGGCCCCTATTAGAAGAATATATTAAAAACAGCTCAGAGGAAACAAGAGCTCGCCCATCCTTATGCAAAGAGAGAGAAATTAGCTGCCTTTAGATGTAAGCTTCCTTAGCGTGATGGTGATGCAGGAAGCTTCTCTACTGTGAAACCGGTGCAGGAAATACCACCACAGAGAAGCGTGCCCATTACTCCATGTCAGTGCTTTTAAATTAATTTATTTTTATTTTTATTTCTGCCCATGAGACTTATTGATCTAAGAGGATTTAGCACTTGCCCATAGCAGGCATCCAGTGAACACCAGAAAATAATAGAAAAATTATAGAAACATAATTTAATATCCATCAAAAACGAAAGGTCTATGTATTTTCCTTCCCTCTTCCCTCCTTTCTTTCCTCTTCTTTTACTCTCGTGATGAGGCCCTAGTGTTATCATTGTAAAAGCATTCGTTTGCATTGTTGTCTTTTCCATTATTGCATTGACTTAGAAACAACAAAATAAAATCCATTCGTCTACTAACAGATGTCCCAGACTAATATTTCTTTGCTTATAGCACAAGCCAGAGAACAACACTTCAAATTAATTTTTTAGAGGTTGCACCTTTATCTTTGTAACTGACATCAGTGAACTTTAGCTGTGTGAAAAGCAGAACTCAAGTTTCATGCATCAAGTATTTGATGTTATATGGACATGATAACAAATTTTATGTCAAGTTGACTGGGCCATGAGGTGTCCCGGTGTTTGGATAAGATTATTTCTGGGTGTGTCTTTGAAGGCGTTTCTAAATGAGATTAGCATTTGAATCAGTAGACTATGGTAGATTGCCTTTCCCAGTGTGGATGGACCTCATCTAATCCATTGAAGGCCCAAGGCAATATTTTCTCCTTCAAATATCCTGGTTTACCACTAACTCATTATATATATATATACACACACACATATATATATATACACACACACATATATATACACATATATATATACACATACACACACACACGCACATATACACACACACGCGCATGTGTATATATGCATATGTGTATATATACACATATATGCGTATGTGTATATATACGCATATATATGCGTATGTGTATATATACGCATATATATGCGTATGTGTATATATACGCATATATATGCGTATGTGTATATATACGCATATATATGCGTATGTGTATTATGCGTATGTGTATATATACGCATATATATGCGTATGTGTATATATATGTATATATATTAATTATATATATATATGTCTCAGAGCTTTACTGAACATTTGGAGGTAGTTGAGTTAGCACTGTCAGAAGAATCTATTTTTAGACATTAAAACATCATTCCTGTCAGTGGAGTAAAAAGTCCCTTCATGACCCTCTTCAACTTCCTGCCATATTGTCAGAGTCATTTTCTCTCTACTGATACTGTTTTCAAAATCCAGCAGGCAGAGGCCACCCAAAATTCCTATTACTTTTTAATGCAGAAAAATTTCTAACCCTTATTTCCCTTTTTTTTCTCATCTAGACTAGTCCAGGAGACCTTGCCCTTTGCAATCAGAGATCATTAACGTGTTCTTCCTACACGTGCTTTTCAGATGTTTCCTAAACATCTGAATGGTGAATAATGCGTTTGTTTACTATCACTCTTTCTTCCTTTCCCTAGGGCACTATTTTGGTTACATTAAAAAAAAAACTCAGGGGAAAAAAAAACCTATTGGGTATATGGGAGATGAAAATGGTAGAAAAGACAAAGCATCCCTTTACATAAGTTAAACATAATTAAATTTACAATAAGTATAAGGACTTAGTAGAGAAACACTAATATATATCTTTGACAAATTGATTTCACAATTCTCCATGATTCTGACTGAAGATATATGGCACTAAATATGTGCTGATAGGTACTAGGAATTTAGAGTAGTTGGATTTGCTTGAAAAATAATTTCCACACTAACATTCAATTTTTGGCTCAAAAACCAATTATTACAAACCTCTTGTATTGCATGCCTGGTGCTTAGAAGTACAAGATGAGTAAGGTATGATCTTTGACCTCATGGACTGTAAGTATAG
Organism: Homo sapiens; assembly: GCF_000001405.40. Lineage (NCBI taxonomy): Eukaryota > Metazoa > Chordata > Mammalia > Primates > Hominidae > Homo > Homo sapiens. The sequence continues at coordinate 91,675,532 of NC_000013.11, forward strand.
TGGGACATGTAGGGATGTTAGCAACTAATTATAAAATACTGCAATATGTGTATTACCTACAAAGTGATATTCACACAGTGGTATGAAATAGTAGATTGTACAACCAATAGCCTAATTGGATTAAGGAGACTTCCTGTGTAGGATGGGGTTTGCTCTTAATGATGAATATGTGTTCCAGATAGAAAAAAGATAGAAAAAATGGACTGTGTGAAGGGTTCAGAGGGTCCAACAGTATCGTGTTTCTGGGTTTGGAGCATCAGCTCCATGTGTGATGGAAGCAGAGGGCAGGGGAACAAGGAGGCGGGAGATGAAAGAGTGGAGGAGATAAGAGTGGAAAACAGGTTAGGCTTCACCCAAGAAAGAACATCGAATATCTCACTCCAGGGTGGTTCGACTTTTAGAAATGTCAGGGTCAGGTTTTCTAATATGTACTAAAAATGCAGATTTCTGGACTTAAGGAATCTGAATGTCTTGATGTGAATCAGGAGCCTGAAGTAACTCTTTGCCATAGATCATGGGAGCCTTTGGCTTTGTTTGTTTGTTTGTTTTTGTTTTTTGAGATGGAATCTCCCTCTGTCGCCCAGGCTGGAGTGCAATGGCACAATCTTGGCTCACTGCAACCTCCACCTCCCAGGTTCAAGCGATTCTCCTGCCTCAGCCTCCCAAGTAGCTGGGATTACAGGTGCCCGCCACCACGCCTGACTAATTTTTGTATTTTTAGTAGAGACAGGGTTTCACCACATTGGCCAGGCTGGTCTTGAACTCCTGGGCTCAGGTGATTTCCCCTTCTCAGCCTCCCAAGGTGGTGGGATTACAGACACGAGCCACCGCACCCGGCCACCTTTGGCTGTTTTAATGTTGGATAATGCTAGGTCATGTCTAGTACAACAAGCCAATATACCATCATGGATATAGGTGTACTCAGAAACAGAATGAAAAAAAAGTCAGCTTTTAATACAGGTTGAAAGCTATATGGCATCCTGGGTAGCAACTTAGAGTAGTTTAGCTAGAGGAAATTGTATAGAATGTTTACTAAAATGCTCTTGGTGAAATTTTATCAAGTACCTTTTATTTTTCTTTTGTACCCTCCCTCACACAGAGTAGTGAATGTGAATGTCTGAGTAACTTAATCATTCTGGAACAGTGAAACAGGCTTCGTGCTTTCAGGAAGACTAAAGATCTTAATGGTTTGGAGGCTTTTGAAAACACTGCATAAATTGTATTTGACTTTATTTAAACTACCAAGCTAGCTTTAAGTTTCATCCAGAGAATGCTTTTGATAAGAAGCTGTTGTTGGGTATAGTTAGAGTGATAAGTGAGCTGGCGCTTAACCTTACGAGGATTAGGTAGGGTAGGGACAGGGACCACTGCTTTTTAAGGCCGTTGGAACCAAGTACACAATCTGTATGTTTGCCTAAAACACTTCACTATATATGGATAGGGAACAGCTTGCATGCTCATGCTGTGTGGAAGTGGAATCTACATTCAAATTGAAAATAGAAAAGCAAAATGAAGTGCAGTAATAACAAGTGTGGACTGCAACATGACCAAAGTGGGAAAGCTGTTAAAATAAATAATGCTCATGGTCATATTGGAGTTCATTGTGAAAAAGATGTAGGAAGCAGAATAGATAATTCTTTCAAATGAAAGAAAAAGGGAATCATAAGCAGGGGTGCAATACAGAGGAATTATGGCTCAATCCTTTTATTAAATCTCGACCTTGGTGAGTACCTTCCTAAATGATACTTGGTACTTTTTAATGATTTTCAAATATATGACTGCAGCTCCACACAGAAACTAATGTGAATTTCCAAGAAAACAAATTTTGAAAAAGAAATAGATTTTAACTCCAGTTTTATGGAATTTGGTGCCTTAGCTATAAGGCCATGATATTTTGATTAAATTAGATATACAATTGGGCACTGAGAAAGGTTTTAAAATGGAAGATTTTGTTTATATTTGTTTGTTTTTAATAGACGAGAACCTCAAGTCCCAGAGCTGGTTATGGGGGCATTTGGCAGATGAATTAGTTCATCTGTCAAGTTCTTTTGCATTCTAATATACGGATTTTCCAAGCACTTTGATCTTGCCCTGCAAAATTGCAGCATTAAGGGATTTTATTCTTATTTTAAAAATTCTTGAATAAAGACACCATTTTTTGAATTGGTAAATGTTTATAAAGAAAATTCATATTGTTTCTAAAGTCATATCTTTGAAATCACAGTTATTTAGAATCTAGATTTCTACAAGTCATATCTTTGGAAGGACCTTTGTTTTTAAATATATATTTCTAGTGCATTTAAAAAGGGCTGCTAGTATCCCATAGCAAAAATCACATAATTGTTACACCCTATTCTTTCTGCTTTTGACTATGTTACTGTTGGAGTATTTTCTGATAAGAGCTATGAAAGCAGAAATGGATGTTGTAGTAAAACAGACTGTTCTTGGTCTGATTGATTTTGTGCTTTATAACCCATTTTAGTTATCAGAAAGAATTACAATTTTTTTCTCCAGCTATTTGGAAAGAATGTAATGGTCTAAAAGAATTGCCTACCTTCTGAGGAAGTTTCTCTCATGTCAAAGTAGAAACAGTATATTTATTAAACTGTCTGTAACTTCGGAGTGAATACTTTCAATTCATTTCTTCCTCTGTTTCCCGACCTGTAACTGTAGGAATCGCTCAACTATGACACTTGGCAATACGATCTAGCAGATGTGTAGGACCATGCTTAGGATGCGGTAAAATCAGGAGATTGCAGATTAAATTTAAACCGTTTTTAAGTCACTTTATATTAGAACATTTGGTGGTTAGAATTTGTCGATAGTATACTTTAGTATGCATTTGTATGATGGCTTGGAGAATATTTTTGTGTTGCCTAATGAAACTCCTTAGCCATTGCTATAAAGCTAACAGAAACAAATGGATATATTTTAAACACTGTACTGTAGGCAGATATCCCAAGAACCATGAAATGAAGAAGAGATAAGATGCTTCATTAGTCGTTCATATTAATATATTGTTATTTAGATTTAAAAACTCCACCAAAATGTTCTAGCACCAAGAAGAGGGTACAAGTTAATGACAATTCTTAGAGCAATAAATATGATCGATGACTTGTAGTGACTAGACATAATAAAAATATAATTAATTGATGGCACAGGAAATTAAGCTGTGATAGTTATTTCAAGGATGTTAGGAGTTTTTGTTTTTTTTTTTGTACATTTGTGGATCCTATAGAGCTGACTTTAAAGGAAAAGATTGAGGTAAGTTATCATTATGTAATTTGAGAAACTGCAAGTTCAGTTAATTCATTTTGGTTGAGAATGCCATGTACTACTTAACAAAATGTCTTTTCTAGCACTTGGATATTCTTTTAGCCATGTTTTGGAGACTCTGCAATGTGAATCAAAGTGTATTAGTTTACTCAGTTCTGTGGAGTTTGACTTTGTCCTGGGGTAAACATTGTATTTTAATAAATAAATGAAAATAAGTATGAAAACATTTAAAGTGCTCAATATTTAACTGAGGAAAAAATGGACTGAGGAACCAGTGGAAGCTCTTTTAGTAATCCAAAGTGGATAAGAGAGATATTAAGGCAATATCTGGCAATGAGAAATAATTTTTTAAGAAATCAACATTTATTTATTTATTTATTTATTTATTATACTTTAAGTTCTGAGGTACATGTGCAGAACATGCAGTTTTGTTACATAGGTATACAGGTGCCATGAGAACAGCTATTGATGACTCACTGGACGTGGGCAATAAAAGTTCTAAGACTTTGAGTCCAGATGCTTAGATGGTTGATCCTAACATACAAAATAAGGAGGTCAGAAAGATGCTGAAACAATAGAGGGAAATAATTGGCAAATACAGATCTAGGTTGATATGTTATACATGGAAAAATAGCTAGAATCTCCAGTAAGAAATATTTGCTTCAGCAACAATTCTCAAAGTGGTCTGGGGTTCCGGAAACCTCAGAGTGTTTTTGAGATCAAAACTATTTCATAATACTGTGAAGTCATGGTTTACATTTTCCTCTGTATTTGCATTTGCATTTATAGTACAAAAGCAATGGTGAGCAAAACTGCTGGGGCTTTAGCACAAATTAAATTGGTGGCATCAAACTGTACTTTTAATAGTAATCACTGTATGTTTTACCTCCACAAATTCACATTTTTAAAAGCCATTGCATTTAAGAAAGTCCAGATAAAACAGCAAAAATTATTGACTGTTAAATATAAACTCTCAATTACACATATTTTTCATGTTCTATGTCATGAAATAAGATTGCATAAAGCAAGTCTTCTGCATACCAAAGAGTAATGGCTCTCTCAATGAAAGATACTTTTGCAATTGAGTTGCAAGCTGAACTAGCCACATTTTTTTTTTTCTGAATACCATTTTTTTTTCTTGAACAAAGTGATTGACAGGCAAGCTATGGTAATTCAGACTTAAGTATTTGGCAAACATTTTCTTAAAATTGAACGAAATGAGTCTATAGCTTCAAGGAAAACAACGTACTGTATTTGCTGGTAGCAATTATATTTGAGCTTTTAAAAGAAAACTGGAAATTTAGAAAACTTACATCCATCACCATGACCTTGACAGTTTCCAGTACTTAAAAATGTGATGAGGCCACGCACAGTGGCTCACACCTGTTATCCCAGCACTTTGGGAGGCCGAGGGGGGCAGATCATGAGGTCAGGCGTTCTAGACCAGCTTGGCCAACATGGTGAAACCTCATCTCTACTGAAAATACAAAAATTAGCCAGGCATGGTGGCATATGCCTGTAATCCCAGCTACTCTGGAGACTGAGGCAGGAGAATCACTTGAACCAGGGAGGCGGAGGTTGCAGTGAGCAAAGATCGCAACACTGCACTCCAGCCTGGGCGACAGAGCAAGACTCCATCTCAAAACAAACAAACAAACAAAAAAGTGATGAAATGTGTCAAAATGAGGAAAATCTGCATAACTTATGAACTAACATGTCAAGGCATGGATTACAATGTCTTGAATGGGTAAGAGAACCATTCATAATAAAAGATTGGCCAGTGGTATGCTTTTAGATTCTGTATTGCACTTAAACTTGAAGAAACAATCCATCGTCATGTTTTGGTGTAATATCAAAGAACAATGTTAACAATGATCTGAAAAGCCTATTAAATGAAAAGGCTGCCTTTGTCAACTGCATCTGTGTGAGGCTCGATTTTCTTCATATACCTTGACCTAAACAAGATGCTGTTCACAGATTGAATTCAGAAATAGATGTGAGAATATAGCTCTTTTCTATTAAGTGAGACAATAATGAAATTTACAATCATGTAAAACAATGATATTCTTCACACTAACATTTTTTGTTTTGGAAAATCCAGTTCTGTTTTTTACAAAACCAGTAATCTAGTATCATTATGTTTATTATGGTTCTCTTAATGGATTAAATGTTTTAAAATAATTATCAGTTTTTTTAAATAATACATACGAATAATATGTATTTCTATATATATATGTGTGTAGCCCACCGCAATACAAGCTTTGGGTTTCTCAATAAATTTTTAAGAGTGTAAAGCGTTCCGAGACCGAAAACTTTGATGATTACTGAGCTACATATGTAAATGTGAGAGCAATCGGCTTGGAGTTTTATTTGCCATTGTAAAAGTGGTGCTATATTTTGAGCAAGATGTTAAGAAACAAGAACCAAGACTTTGAACGATCTGGCCTAGGATGCAGAGGAATGAGTGAAAGAAACAAAATTTTTACCAATAGAGGGTATAAGAGAATGCGTCACCAGCTTTAGAAGCTAGAGTTACTAGGAGACTCTGAATGTTGACAAGAAGCCCTTGCATTTCATTAGGAAGAGGTTGGCAGAAATCTCAATACCATTTCAGTGACAACTTGACCCAATCAACTATTCCTCTCTGCCTGCCTAGCTCTTCCATCATTCCTAGTGGAATTTATGCAGCATCACCAGCAGTATTCCCTATAACCTAAATCTTTTCCCTGAATTTAACTTCACCTTCTTGTTCTAACTAAATAGTAGTTTATTTTCTCCTATATTATCTTTTGACATGGACTTTTTCTTTGGCAGGGGAAAGAGTGGTAGAAGAGCAACAATATTTATTTTTTTCTCCACAGTGTATTTGGTGATAAAGATCTTAAACGGTATCTTTCTTTCCCAGAGATTAGGATGCAGTTTTGTACTTCATAATTAGAAATATTAGAAAATTTCCAGCTGAGTTGACTTCAATGCAACACATAGCTTTCTCTTTATTTTTGCCATATTTATAATATTAGTTAATTTTTGAAAAGAACGATTTCAATAGCTAATTTGGTTTATCATACACAATATCTTAATGTGCTAATTAACAGTGAAATGTTTGCATTTTGTTCAATTATATAAAGTTTTGTCTTGCTTTATTTTGTTTTTGTGTACATCTATCCCTTTTCAGCTATTTTATATAGGGTGTCAGACTATTTAGAAAATGATAGTACGATATGTGATATATATGGTTCCGAACTCAGAATCTGGAACCAAATACTCAGGGTTCAAATCCAGGCTCTGCTACTTTCTGTATAAACCTTGATCAAATCACTTACACTCTCAGTGCTGCAACTTGATCATCTGTAAACTAGGAATGATTAATAATACAATGTGTGCTATGTTTACTTATATACACAGTATTATTATGGTGGTCGTGCTAGTAAGAGTACCCGTATCATGGGTTGGAGAATCAAGTGAATTAATTTTCCAAAAGAACTTAATAAATCATCTAGCTAATGGCAAGTACATGGCAAAAGTTAGTGATTATTATTATTATTCCTTAATGGTTTTTCAGCACATTCTACCTTTAGGCACTATGCAAGTAGGTACCATGTACAAATTCATTTAATTCTCACAGCTGTTCTATGAGATAGGTGCCATTATTATACCTGTTTTCTGATGAGAATAAGTGAGAGGCAAGGAAGTCAGGAAATTTACACGCATGGGACTAGCATCTAATTATAGGGCATTTGAACCAAACCCTATCAGAATGTACAGAGGCCCCTCATGGGAAAAACATTGGGAGATAGAAAGATGAACAGGAGGACTCGATTCCTGCCTCAACAGATTCATGAGCACCCAGGAAAGGCAGGAGGGTACAGTCAGTCTTAGGACATTGTTCTGAGCAGTCTGTGAACATAAGAAGTGAAAGAATCACTAGTCACCATGCTGCATTTTATTTCAATTGAATCTCACAGCTATCCTGCCCTTGGTCAGAGCAGACACGATTGCATCTACTTTATTACAGACAAAATTGATGCTTAGAGAGGTTAAATAGCTCACATAATCAGTACGTGGAAGACCTTGGACTACAGTCATTGTCTCCTGAGTTTGCAAATCAAGTGTAGATTTTTTAATTTTATTTTTTTGTCTTCTGTGATCAGTATTGTAGTAGGCTGAATATTGGGCCCCAAAGATATCAGGGACAAATCCCTGGAATCTTCGAATTGTTGCTTACATGGGGAAAAAAAAAAAGGTCTTTGCATATGTGCTTGAATGGAGGATCGCGAGATGGGGTGATTATCCTGAATTATCTGGGTGGGTCCTAATAATCACATGAATCTTTAAAAGAGAGGCCTAGGGAGATTTCACACATGAATACACGCAGAAGACAATGTGAGATTAGAGTGATGTGGATATAAGCCAAGGAGTGCCAAGAAATGGCAGCAGCCACCAGCAGCTGGAAAAAGAAAGGAATGAATTCTCTTTCAGAACCTCCAGAGGCAGTGCAGCCCAGACCACACCTTGATTTCAGCCTAGTGACACTGCTTTGGGATGCCTGGCATCTAGAACTGAGAAGGCATACTTTTCTGTTATTTAGACTGGGAAATTATTAGCAATTTGCTACAGCAGCAACAGGAAACAAACAGGATCATCCTCTTTTGTTGGGGATGCTGTGCTCCTGGATCCACATTTTTGCTCCTATGCTCCCCTGGCAAATCCTCTTTGCCTGCCGGAAGAGTCACTGCCTGTCCGGCTTCCATGCTGCCATTTACCAGACTTCTGGTCATGTTCCCTTAGGAACTCGCCATTTTATTACCTGACTCTTTCTCTTGACTTCACTTGACATTATTCTTGGCAACTATAACATCCACTTATTTATCCAATATTTTAGTCTCTATCAATGCCCTAGATCACATCCTTTTGCTTACTCAAGGAATTTCCTCCTGCAGTTCCCATCCTGCCTGCTCAGTCATCAATTTATTGCTATATCCATATGTGAATATTCAGTAAATTCTCCTTCCTCATACAAGCAAAATGTTTGACCTCATAGCCCCCTCCAGTGCCTGTCTTGGTTTTCTGCTTCCATTATAGCAAACATTTGCAAGAAGTTGTCCATAACGTTGCCTTAATTCTTGTCCTTTTCTGCTCATATTCTGCTGAAGCAGCTGTTATCAAGGTTGCTAAGGGCTTCTCTTTCTCATCAGTTCCCATGGTCAATTGTTATTCCTCATCTCAGTTGCCCTTTTAATAGCATTTGACATGATAGATTACTTTCTTCTACTTGCATTATTTTCTTCCCTTGATTTCTGGGACACTCCGTTTTCCTGATTTTCTTTTTACTTCACTGGCTTCTTATTCTAATTCTTGTTGCTGGTTACTCTTCTTTTCCCAAATTTCTCCACTCTTCCCTATCTTTTCCCCTTCGGTTATTTCATCCAGCACCATAACTTTATTCTCCATAACAGTCACTTTCAGACTTATATCAACAGCTTCAACTTTTCCTGAGACTCCAATTATTTTATCTAATTGTATACTGATACATTTTATTTGATTTTCTAACTGGTAACATGTTCAAAACAAAACCTTTAATTTTCCACCCCACCACACACAAACACGGAGCCGGCATACTCTTGCTTATCTTAGTTAATGGTACCACTATGCATCCAGATACTGAGGCCCAGTCTTCAGATTTATCCTTCATTTATCCATTTCCTATACATCTCCCTCCAAACAAACCACAAGTTATTTTGCCTGTGATTCAGTACATATGGACAATCTGATCACTTATTGCAGCATACACCTCCACCAATACCACAGTCCAGCCCAGCAATGACTGTCACCCATACTGTTAGCATAGCCTTTAAACTGGGCTTCCTGTTTTCACTCTTACACCCACCCAGCAGTCCATGCTCCATATATCAGCCACTGTTATCCTTTAAGACATGAACAGCATCACATTTCTCCTATGTTGAAAATTCCCCAGTGCTTCGCATTCCACATAGAAAATCTGAACCCCTTACCATGATCTGTGGGGCCATCTGAAATCTGTCCCCTGCCTACTTCTCAGACCTTTCTCTATTCTCACTCACTGAGCTCCAATCACATTGACTTTCCTCTGTTTTTGCATAGTCAGCAACCTTCTTTGCACCTCGTAACCTTGCACTCTACCTTCTCTGAGCCCCCTAACCACTCATCTTTTCATAGCTGGCTCTTTTTCATCACTGAGGCTTCCACTTGAATGTTGCTTCCTCAGAGAGGGTTTTCCTTCTCACTGTATCTAAAATGGCCAATCTCAGCCTGGGCAACGTAGAGACACTGTCTCTACAAACAAACAAACAAACAAACAAACAAAAATTAGCTGGGCATGGTGGTGGCGCTTGTCTGTGGTCCCAGATACTTGGGAGGCTGAAGTGGGGGAGTCTCTGGAGCCCAGGCAGTTGAGGCTGCAGTGAGCCGAGATTGTGCCAATGCACTCTAGTCTGGGTAACAGAGTGAGACCTTGTCTCAGAATAAAATAAAATAGCCAATCTGTAGAAAATCATTTTGCCCAAACCAGTTTGTCCAAATCAATATTTTAATTTAGCAAATGACCAAATATTGTTTATAGTTTGGATGTATTTGGTAAACTCAGAAAGTTTCCTATTGAGAATAAGATTAAGAACTTGCTTTTGATTGTCTTTTGGTCAATTGATTATAAGCAAATTGATCTTTGGAAAACAGCACCCTTCACTTTTCATCCCCTACCCTCTTTTATCCCTCTGTAATACCTAACATAACAATAAATCATTTATATATCTGTTTGCTTTTATACTTTATCTTTTACTCTGTAGATTCTAAGCTTTATAAGGACAGAAACTTGTATGGCTTATTCAGTTTTAGCTTCAAGGTCTAAAACAGGTGCTCAAAATATATTGGTTGAATGGATGAATGAAAGAATGAATATCAAAAGAAACTAGATTTGAATACACTAAGAGGGAATAGACAGTGTGCCATTGAAAGCCAAAAATATAGAACATCTCATTCTCTTGAGATTTCAAATAGAGAAAATGAGGACAGGAATTATGAGTTAGCAGAATGAAAGCTTTTGTTTATTTAAATAAAGAAGAACCATGTTTTTGTGTATGAATTAACTAAAAAAAAAAAACAAAGAAAAAGAGGAAGGAGAACCACCAATAAAGGATATTGGTTTACTTGTTCTGTATAAAAACATAAAGTTGTGAGTAAGAAACTCTTCCGTATAGCTCCTTTGTAGTTCTAGATTGTGTTTCTGAGTTTAAAGATTATTAGAAAATTTGATTTAAAATCTTCACTCCACAATAATTCATGAAACAATCAATGGTTAGTTGTTTAGAACTGATTTTATCTGTTACACAACTGCTTAAGGGAATTTAAATTTCTGCTAAAATCAAGTTGATTTTCAAACATAATTAATTATAAAATAATATTAGAAATAAATGTGAAGCACCATGAAGCCCAAATTAATGAGGAGGGAAATGAGGGAGGAAGAGAGTTAAGAGGGCATTTTTCCATACAGTGCTTGTCCTAGAAGATAAGATTAATTAACAAAAGGCTAATTCTTGATGATACAGATTAATATCCCACTCACTATTTATTTATATAGATGACTGATTTCTGCATAACATTTGAAAATGTCATTAAATTAATATTCCAGAAAACTTTGCACATTTTACTTTTTGGAAAAAAATTAGGAAATATGCAAATACAAGGGAAAATTCAGTATAAACGCTTCCAGTCTAGAGAATTAGGTAGTTGCTTCTTTTATTTAAAAATATATATCTTCAAGTGGCTATAATGGTCTTCTGAAAATCAAAAGAATTATTACTATTAAAATTATTCAGAAGTACTTCTTTTAAGAAAAAAGGAAATGGAATTAAAATTCATTGTAACGTGTGTGATAAAAATTGGTTATAAAATTACTTTTAAAATGATCTACCTACCTATTCATCTATCTGTATAATTTAATGCAGAGGGATACATGATTTCAGGCACAGAGCAACTCTAAAGTAGCAGAGTAGTAATGAATTATCCATTGCAATAACATAATATGTGACTTGAGAGTTGTAATGCACAAAATGCAAATTCGCTCTGAAAATTTCTCTTCAATCAGATATACATTGTAAAATCATCTGATTTTCTATGGTTGATATGATTTAATCTTTTAAAATCTATTTCATTTCTATATTTGAGAATATCTGTGGCCTCAAATTGTAATTGAAATTTCAAAATTTTTAAGTTAAAACATTCATATATCAAAAATAAAAAATATTAAAAGGGTCATAAAATATAAGTACATGTCATGCCAGAGAGGTTATTATAACAGTTATTCATAATCATTGCTTTTAGAAGTCAACTTTATCTTTAAACTAATAAAAGCCTTGTGACTCTTCGGTTTCTCTCATTACAAAAAGCCACCTGCATATGAATCTTCACTGATTTTGACATTTTTCACATTTAATTTTAAATCGATATCACTCAATTTTATCTCTACCAGTTTTATTTAAAGTTAAATCCTTTATTTGTGTCAGTAATCATTTGTGGGTTTAATAAATTTTCTCTAAAAGGAATGTGGGCTGGAAGCAGTTAAAGTTTTCAGTCTTAGGTGTTTTGTCATTAAATTAAGATTAACGGAATGTTAATGTCGAAAATGGAAATAGATGCAGATAAACTTCATGCATTCCAAATCCAGTTTTTAGTGAGATAACACATAAATGATTTTATGTGTAGATAAATTAATTTTCCCATAAGGCTGGGAAGAATTACATTCTATATTTAAACAGTAATTAGATTGCACTTGCAGCCTTTAATTCGATCTACCACTCAGGCATTATAAGGAAAACTGGAAATTATTCTGTCTTGATAGACTTATTCTGATATCACTGGAAAGAAGAGCTTGTTGAAATTCTCAATGAAAAACACACACACAAAAAATTTTATTCCTAATCTGTTTCTTAAATTCCTTAAACAAGACTGGAAAATGTTTATTTTCAATGTGTGCTACAATTTTTAATTCTTGAATACAAAGCTACTATTTATATAGCTTGGTTGAGAAGTATTTTTATGTATTATAACTGTAATGAAAGAAACCGTAGTTTCTCTTTCATAATTAAGTAGATGTGATTAATTGTTCAGCACCTTACCTATCTTGGATTTATAAACAATTATTTTATATGTCTATTACGTTTTTGGAGAACAGCACATATTTTGTTACTTGACAGTTATTTTGAAAGTTTAAATTCTTGCTAATATCAAAATGTTAATTCAGTAAAATGGAAACACTCAACTCCTTGGTAAACATGGTATAAGAACAAAGTGATAGTTTTACAAATTCAAAGTTAACACAAACAAGTAGCTAGAGTAAATTCAATTTCTGATTTTACCAATTTTAATTAAAAATTAGTACAAAATTATTCAATGGCTTGGCTCCTAGATTGTTCATTTTTGATAGGTGTTTACACATTAAAATTTTATGAAGTGATTAGGACAAAAAAATTCAAAATATGTTTATCCCTAAGCATTGAAGAATCAATTATGTATAGACCAATAGTTTACAGTTTTTTATTGGTTGGATTTAAGAAATACTTATGATCACAGATATATAAAAATATGTATATTACATATATTTAGGTAATTCAATTAACTGGAATATTTCAATATCAGGTTTAATACATATTGAAAGTCCCCCAATTTTTTGATATTGTGGTGAGTTAATAGCATGGTGAAAAACTAATGCAATAAATTACTTAAATCAAATCTATTTTGTGTTCAGATATTCAGGAAATAAACAGAATATTGACACGGTTGTGTGCCACTGAAGTACAGAGATTTGTTTGGAGAAATACATCATTAGACAATTTCGCCATTGTGCAAATATAACAGACTATACTTACACAGATCTAGACCTTAGAGTCTGCTACACACCTAGGCTATATGGTATAGGTTCATCGCTCCTAGGCTACAAACCTGTGTGACATGTTACTATACTTAATACTCTAGGCGTTTGTAATGCACTGGTAAATCTTTGTGTATCTAAGCATATTTAAACATAGAAAAGATACAGTGAAAGGATGGTATAGACTGAGCCTGTAATCCTAGCACTGTGGGAGGCTGAAGGAGCAGATACCTTGAGGCCAGGAGTTTGGAACCAGCCTGGGCAACATAGCAAGACCCCATCTCAACAAAAAAATAATAAAAAGTAAAAATTAGCCTGGCATGGTGGTCCACACCTGTAGTCCCAGCTACTTGGGAAGTTGAGGCAGGAGGGTTGCTTTGAGCACAGAAGGTTTAGGCTACAGGGAGCTATGATCCTGGCATCACACTGCAGCCTAGGTGATGGAGCAAAATGTTGTCTCAAAAAATCATATATAAATATATATATATATATATATATATATATATATATATATATATATATACACATATAAAATTATGGTATAAATTTTTTTTAAAAAAGGTACACCTGCATAGGGCACATAGCATGAGTGGAGCTTGCAAGATTAGAAGTTGCTCTAGGTAAGTCAGTAAGTGAGTGGTGAGTGAATGCAAAGGCTTAGGACATTACACTATTTAGACTGTACAAATACTGTATACTTAGGCTATACTAAATTTATTTTAAAAATCTTTCTTCAATAACAAATTAACCTTAGCTTACAGTAGTTTATAATAAATTTACTTTAAACTTCAATTTTTAAAAAACTTTTTGATTTTTTGTAGTAACATTTAGCTTAAAAGACAAACTCATTGTACAAAAATGTTTTCTTTATATCCTCACTCTATAAGCTTTTTTTTTCTATTTTTAAATATTTATTTATTTTTTTACTTTTTAAACTTTTTTGTTAAAAACTAAGACACAAACACACACATTAGCCTAGGCCTACACAGGGTCAGGATCATCAATATCACCGTCTTCCGCCTCCACATCTTGTTGCACTGGAAGGGCTTCAGGAACAATAACAGGCATGGAGATGTCATCTCCTGTGATAACAATGCCTTCCTCTGGAAGAACTCACTTAGGTGGCTTTATGGTTAACTTAAAAAAAATCAGTAGAAGGAGTGCACTCTAAAATAACAATAAAAAACATAGTATGGTAAACACCCAGTAACAAAGTTGTTTATTATCATTATCAAATATTATGTACTGTACATACTTGCATGTGCTAGACTTTTATATGACTGGCAATCTGATATTTTTGTTTATACCAGCATCACCACAAACATGTAATATGTTGGACTATGATGTTATGATGGCTATGATGTCACTAAATTATAGGAATTTTTCAGCTCCATTATAATCTTATGGGACCAATGTCATATATACAGTTAGTCATTCACCAAAACATCATTACAAGGCACATGACTGTATTTGATGACATATAATTTCCCCTTCAAAGGGTAGTAAAGTCAATACACAGTTTATGAAAGCTAAAATTTTAATGCATGTGTTATTAGAGAAAAGTTTTAAAATTTCACTCTAATATGATTCCTGAAGTTATTATCAGGTTCTTTTTGGTTGTTTTGTTTTAAAGAATAAAACTGAATCAGAGAAAAACTACTCTAAAATCAAATAAAAACTGTATAATTTGTTCAGAAATTTATTTTTAATTACAAACTCAAAGAGTAATCAGAATTAGTTTGTTGCTAATAATACACAGTGGCCTTAAAAGAGAAATAATGATATTTGGAAATGCTATATTCATTTTTATTTTGAATGAAAACTCCTAAATATTAAATATATTCTCTTCAACATTGCTTTTACAATATAAATTACTTTGTAAAACATACCTGTTAGGGCTACTTAAAGATAAACTCCATATTTTCCTAAATCATTGTGTTATAAATTAATTGGGCTGAAATTTATAAAGAAATATTTTATTCTTGCCTTTATAAAAATTGCATGTGTAAACATCATTTAGAGTTGGCAGAAATCTGATGGAACATCAGTATTGCCTGATTCAGCAATGTTCAACCTTTATTCCACTAAGAATAATATGGCAATTGTCAGTCACATGAACACATATAGCACATATCTTAGAAACCTGGGTGGAAAGCATGTAAGAATGCCTGTGATATAGGGTATCTTTGAATCTATCCTTATTTTATCTTTAACAAATTAAGTAATTTTAAAACATTGTGATTTAACCATTATTGGTAAATAAAATTATTTGTGACCCACTTCGCGGTTCTTAGCCACACACAAACTGCTCAGAAAAATGACCTATTTTAAGGAGAAACATACAGGCTTGGCAGTTTTATTGTAGTTCAAGCCACAGAGATTCAATTCCGTTTTCACACTTTGTCCTGTGGATCTGTGAAAACAGAGTGTAGTGGCTGAGACTGCAGCTGTGGGGTCAGGTTATCATAGTGGAATGCTTGCTGAACAACTCTGTAAGAGCAGAGAGAATATTTTACACGTATTTGCAACCGCAATGTTTCAAAAACTGGCCAGGTTAAAAGAATCACCTGGACTGCTTGTTAAATATAGATTCCTGAACCAAGACGAACCTACTGAGTTAGGATTTCAAATGCAGAGACCTGACAATCTGTATTTTTTCCCCATGAAGCCCAGGTGATCAGGCCATTTGGGGAAACCTGGCATTAATGCTGGCTGACATGATAGAGCTGCTAATCTCAATTGAAGCCTTCTCATAATCATCCCATTTTCATTCTTTCATATTTTTATTGAGGAACTAGTTACTAGCGATGCACAGGTAACACATGAGCTCTACCTAACAATTTATACGTACTCTATTGAAACAGAATTGCAATTACTTTTAAAAGCTGTTACCTTTGATTGCAGGGTAGATGCACCTTAATATCTCACACTAAAGCCTGGAAATCAATGTGAATTAGATCAGTATCAGAATTCATGATATTGCGTTGTTATTTATTTGTACTTGGACTCTGTGGCATATTCATGACACAGTTCTGCTTCATTAGTAGCTCTCTCTGCACCTCTGCATTTTGTTATTCCATTTTGTTTTTTCCTACTCTTCTTCCACCTATTTTTGTAATATACTCAAACAGTGTTTAGATTACTAAGTTATTGCGTGATCTTTTACAACCTAATTAAAAGTGACTATACGGTTGGGACTATAGGAGATAATTTTATTGAATATATTTTATTATTATATATTGAAACAGTCCAGTATCCTTATTTAGGCTAATTATGAAATGTAATTACTAATATATCCAAGGTGTTTACTGTTGCTTAATGCCTCATTTTGATATACCATTTTGACTTGCTGATTATTCCAACTTTCTATTTTTAGATTTTCTCCCTTAATTTACGGGTAAATTATTCTTGGTTCTTTTTGTGGATAAATTGACTTGAGATCATCAGTTATTTAAGTAAGAAACAAAATATCCCACAGTAAAGTCTTTGAAGATAAGATGATAAGAAAAAGGATATGATTAATAATGTGGTCACAATAATTTATTTTCATCAAATAGTAGCACTCATGGGTTTCCCAGTGCTTAACAAAATGTGATAATTTATGGATACTTTGAAAATGAATGCTTTACTTTCTCTTTAGTTAGAACATGTGAGGAGGTCTAAGGATTGTCTGGTTTTCCTTTGGGAATCTAACCTCCCTTTGTAGCAACCAGTGTGTAATCTACTAGCTTTCATTCTGGAAAAGAAAAAGATTTTAAAAATTATAAAAATATAGCAGGTGGTGAATTAAGTACTTAATGTGACCATCTTTTATAAATAATGAAGTCAGATTATGAATTAAATTTCTCAATGACACTTTTTTCTATCATTAGTGAGTTATGAATGACTATAGAATAAAGTAAGAAACTACCATACATGTAACTTATTTTTTATTTCATTACTTTTTTAATTTTGAGACAGAGTCTCACTCTGTCACCGAGGCTGGAGTGCAATGGTGCAATCTCAGCTCATTGCAACCTCCGCCTCCCAGGTTCAAATGATTCTTCTGCCTCAGCCTCCTGAGTAACTGGGATTACAGGCATCTGCCACCATGCCTGGGTAATTTTTGTATTTTTAATAGAGAGGGGGTTTCCCCATGTTGGTCTGGCTGGTCTCGAACTCTTACCCTCAGGTGATCCACCTCCCTCGGCTTCCCAAAGTGCTGGAATTACAGGCGTGAGCCACCACGCCTGGTGATTTCATTACTTTTAAACAGATTGTGATCCTAGAAATATGTCTGTATAAAACTTGTGTGTTGTAGGCAATGGTCATTCTTGTCCGGTCATTATCCTTGGAAAGCTGAATTTGGTTGAGTAGGCTGAGAGTTACAATTTAGATACTTAGATTAGTTTTGATGAGTCATTTAATGTCTGGAGCAGATGGACGGTGTTAGCATGAATACTAAACCTTCTCATGTTTTACCTCTGCTTGTGTTACAGAAACCCTTGAAACTCTCATCAAACAAGCAGAAAATTACACCAGTATACTTTTTTGCAGTACCTACAGGAACATGGCCTTGGAGGCTGCTGCTTCGGTTCAGGAGTTCTTCACTGATGTGGGGCTGTATTTATTTGGTGCGGATGTTAATCCTGAAGAATTTGTAAACAGATTTTTTGACAGTCTTTTTCCTCTGGTCTACAACCACCTCATTAACCCTGGTGTGACTGACAGTTCCCTGGAATACTCAGAATGCATCCGGATGGCTCGCCGGGATGTGAGTCCATTTGGTAATATTCCCCAAAGAGTAATGGGACAGATGGGGAGGTCCCTGCTGCCCAGCCGCACTTTTCTGCAGGCACTCAATCTGGGCATTGAAGTCATCAACACCACAGACTATCTGCACTTCTCCAAAGAGTGCAGCAGAGCCCTCCTGAAGATGCAATACTGCCCGCACTGCCAAGGCCTGGCGCTCACTAAGCCTTGTATGGGATACTGCCTCAATGTCATGCGAGGCTGCCTGGCGCACATGGCGGAGCTTAATCCACACTGGCATGCATATATCCGGTCGTTGGAAGAACTCTCGGATGCAATGCATGGAACATACGACATTGGACACGTGCTGCTGAACTTTCACTTGCTTGTTAATGATGCTGTGTTACAGGCTCACCTCAATGGACAAAAATTATTGGAACAGGTAAGTAGGAGCTCCACATTTTCAGTCTGACTTCTTGTAATTCAAATATTAGCCATGATATACTTTAGGAAATAGTAGGAGAATGTGTCTGTTGATATATTCAATCCAAGATATTATTTTTTTATATCTTATGATAAAATTTTGATTGGCTGAAATACCACATTCTCTCCTAAGTAGAAGTCTGCTGAAAGGGTGAGTACTGTGACGTGGCAAGAGCTCAGGTTTGAAATCAGGAACAGCATAGATTTGAATCTTTAGCCTGCCGGTAATTAGCTAAATGAAATTAGGTAAGTCCCTTTGGCCTCTTTGCACCTCAATTTCCTCAGTGATAAAAAGGAAATAGTAACATACAACATTTGAAGTATTCTTTTTTGGGAATATAGGCATTATGTGTGCAAACTACTTAGTATGGTACCTGGTACTCCAAAAATGGGTAGTTATTGTTAGAATTTCAGAAGCATTTGGCTTTAAAATGGAAAATGCCAGTTATATATCCCTGAAGTTAAGACTTGATAGCTTAGTGTTCAAAAGAGTTTCTTCAGAGATGCTCCAAAATCTGTCACAGTGATGGCGTGATAATTTTTAAAATGTAGTGTATACACGGTCATGGTGTTTTATTCCTAGCAGGCTGAAACGTTTTTAAAACACAATCATCAAATCAAAACACATGAGAGTTTTCTATTTGTCTCACCTTACATAGAACCATTTTTCTAAATATTCACTGGCTCCCTTAGTAATAGTTCTCATATCCCAGAGTGAAATAGGATAGCATGCTGATGGTTCTACTAAACATATTCCCCTGAAATAAAATTATACTCTCCAGTGCCAACAAAAGACATCTCCTTAGGCTGGCATTGATTTACCAAATTAACAAGCATTCTCATAAATTAGCTTTAAGCAGAAAATTTTAGTAGAGGGAGTTTCTCCATGTTGGTCAGGCTGGTCTCGAACTCTTGACCTCAGGTGATCCACAGGCCTCAGCTTCCCAAAGTGCTGGAATTACAGGCATGAGCCACCGCGCCCAGCGATTTCATTACTTTTAAACAGACTTTGATTCAATTCCTTTAATTAATGACTGATAGAATCTGAAAAGCTTTATGTCCAAACGCGTTTTCCCCTTCTCTTCCTAACCTTCAGGGACTTTCCAGGTCCTGCGTGAGCCTTTATGGTTCCTTTCTGCAAATTAGAAATGACACCTCCTTTAGGTGGATTCAGCACAGCAGCATAGGGTAATGTGTGGGCTGAAATTTAACTCCCTGCTTCATTCAGCTGGGTATCCCTATACAATTAACCGGGTTCTCAACTTGATGTAATGGCCTGGTCTTCTTGTCTTCTCACATCCTTTTATGAAAATTGTACATGGCCCAGAACCTCTGGAAGGGATGCAATAAACCATCTCAAAAGGAGGTACCAATGACTGCTGTGGTTTCAAGTATTTCCTTGAAAAATAAGCACTTAGATCCAGGGAACAAAATGCTCTTATTATTATTATTATTTATTTATTTATTTTTTGACGGAGTCTCACTCTGTCACCCAGGCTGGGGTGCAGTGGCATGATCTCAGCTCACTGCAAGCTCCGCCTTCCGGGTTCATGCCATTCTCCCGCCTCAGCCTCCCACGTAGCTGGGACTACAGGTGCCCACTACCATGCCCAACTAATTTTTTGTATTTTTTTAGTAGAGAGGTGGTTTCACCATGTTAGCCAGGATGGTCTCGTTCTCCTGACCTCGTGACCTGCCCGCCTCGGCCTCCCAAAGTGCTGGGATTATAGGCATGAGCCACTGAGCCGGACCAAAATGCTCATATTATTTTATTGAGTATCTCCAAAAGGGAAAGTAAGCACAAGAAATCAGAGACCAAGTCCAGATTTGATTATTAATTTGGGTCATTATAACTTAATGTCCCATGGCCAGGACCTTCTGATATATGTAAGTGAATAGGTTTTCAAGACCTTTTTTCCTATGTATTTTGGAAACCTGAAGGGCCTTTTTGTGTCCTTAAAATCTATCCTGTAGAAAATCTTCTGTGTTTCCTATTTCAAAGACTAAAATAAAAGTTTGCAGTAGACAGGCAAGCTTTCAAATCCTGAGTTTGCTACCCATTAGTCATGTGGGCTGGGTCAGCTTCTAAAACCCTTAAGCCTGTTTGTCCTATGTGAAAAGGAAGGGAGGAATAACTTAAATAGGACAGTGTTGGTCAGAGTCTGACACTGGTAGGCAGTTGGTACCTGATAACCTTACTCTTTTCTCTCCTTATTCTAAGGAAGGCCCTAAGCAGACCTTGGTGAAGCAGGTGACTTTAGTATCTCAAAGTATTAGAATCAGGTTTATGTTTCCTAAAGAAGTTTTATACACAACTTTTATCATGTAAAACTCTCTGCTGTATTTTCAAAGAGAGTGCTCTTTTTAAAATAGTCTGATTTTATATAATAGTCCTATGACTATTTTGAGAAATATAAATTATTACTGATAAATTATGGATTCTTTTCTAAATAAAACAACTGAGTCCTCTTTTTTACTTATGGGAACAGAAGAAGAAACTGATTTTAAATTCCTTGAAAATTGACCCATTAATATTTATTTCTACCAATTCAAAGTGATTTATAAGCTCTTTATCAAACTTTGATAACCAGTTCGCACATCGATGAATTTAACAAATTCAAAATAAATTACTGGAAAGCCAGCAAATAATGACTTTCTCACATTCCCAAAGAAATCTCTGAGATCTAGTACTTCCAAGTCTACTCCTCCATAAATACATATTTTCACTTTAAAATATCTGTGGAGATACCTGATATATATATAAAATACTTCTGTTGGATGAATTTCAACTGGAAACAAAGTTTAGTTTTCTGAGAAAAATCATAAGTACCTTATATTTGGTTAATGTTTAGAGAAACAAAAGTTAATTTACAAGATAATTTTTTAAATTTCATAATTCTGTGATTTTATTAAGACAAAGTTTGATTTAATAAAGAAGAGAGGTAACAAAGAGTAGGAATTAAAAGCACAAGTCCAAGTGTTAAATTGGATTTCACATCTGTCTCTGCCTCTTACTAGCTCTGAGTTTACGCATTTGCTTATTTTATCTCTGTTTGCTTCAGTTTCCTCTTTGGTTAGATGGGGTGATGAAATACCATAATAGTATCCTTGTGAGAATAAAATGAACTTACACACTTAATGTCTTGTGCATAGTGTTTACATTTTACCAGTTATCACTATCACATTATATTATTTAGAAATAATTCACTGATTTATCTGAATTTTTTTTCTTTTTATTTGAAATGGAGTCTTGCTCTGTCACCAGGCTGGAGTGCAGTGGCATGATCTCGGCTCACTGCAACCTCTACCTCCCGGGTTCAAACGATTCTCCTGCCTCAGCCTCCCAAGTAGCTGGGACTACAGGTGCCTGCCACCATGCCCAGCTAATTTTTGTAGTTTTAGTAGAGATGGGGTTTCACTGTATTGGACAGGCTGGTCTCAAACTCCTGACCTTGTGATCTGCCCGCCTTGGCCTCCCAAAGTGCTGGGATTACAGGCATGAGCCACCACGCCTGGCCTTCTCTGATGTTTTAAATGCTCCCAAAGTAAACATTTATTTCTTAGGGGTGTAGAGCTCAAAAAATATTTTAAATAATCATTTAATTAAACAAATGCTTGTAATTGTCTTTATGAATGAGAAAAAATTGATATTTTCAGAAAATATTAGACAAGTCTCTAACGTATTTTTAATATTAACGGATTAATATTAAAATGTTAATATTAATAGATTACCCTCTTGTTAATAAATTATTAATTCATTTGGTAAATAAATACTTCATATTTTTTGAAATCCTATTTCTTAGTAATTACATTTAATATATTATTTCTTGCTATAATTTGACACTTTAACTTATTAAAGGCATAAGAACATAGAGTCTGGTTTAATAACATTGTTTCAAGATGTTCTAAACAGAACAAATGTTACCAGGAAACACAGCTAAATATTGATTCTATACAGTTTTAGGAAAAAAAGATGTTTTCTTTTTTTTTTTTTTTTGAGACGGAGTCTCGCCCTGTCACCCAGGCTGTAGTGCAATGGCGCGATCTTGGCTCACTGCATCCTCCACCTCCCGGGTTCAAGCAATTCTCCTGCCTCAGCCTCCCAAGTAGCTGGAATTACAGGCATGCGTCACCACACCCAGCTAATTTTTTGTATCTTTAGTAGAGACGGGGTTTCACCATGTTGGCCAGGTTGGTCTCGAGCTCCTGACTTCATGATCCACCCATCTTGGCCTCCCAAGGTCAGAATCATAATTTTCAACAAAAAAAGTCCCATTCTATTTTTTCTTACAGATAAGTTTTTCAGCTATTCTATCTATGCAATATTAATAGAGATTCAGCTGGTTGTACTCAAATTACTTTAGAATTACTATATAATTCTATCAATAAAACCTATCAAAAATGACTTTACGGTGAATTGTATAATATATACTAACATACTTAAATTCACTGTTAAGGAAACTAATATCTTATCACTTCTTCTGTACATTTATCTGAATCTGTAGACAGTAAGCATAGTAAATTTATTAAGTGTTTTTAGGCATTTAAACTATACCTTCAATAAAAGAAAAGTTAAAGTAGCAGCCTGGATTATTTAGGACAAAATGCTAATTTTGTCCAATTTATTCAATGATGTGATATATATTTTCCTACAATATGGATGTATGTGAGATTTTGCAAAAATAAGTACTAGAGAACAAAAAAGCGTAGGGAAGAATTCTCAAAATCTCAGTCTCCAAAGTAACCTAATTAAAATACAATGCCATTGCAATTTTAGATATTTTAAATTTAGATATTAAATGCAATACATTCTACAGTAACTATCACACATGAACTTGAAAAAGTCATGACATTTGCTTAGCGTCAGTCAGTCTAGTGCAGTGTGGGAGTTTTTGAGTGATGAAGAAGAGGTGGCAGAGTGCATCACCTTCTCGTGGTCATGACACTTTCACAATAATAAGAAGGCTAATATGCCCTTTCCCTAGAAAAGTAAGACACGCAGACACACAGGCACATGCAAACTATTGCATATAATTTCAGTGACTTTACAGCTCCTGTGATGCCACAGACCTGAGGGTGAGGACCCCTGGGTTAAAGAAAGGACATCTCATTCTTAGGGTGAAATAGAATGATACCAGAGTTGGTTCCTAGAGAGGTTCAAACATGGATGAAATTATTTTGAAATTAATGTTGGATATGTAGAGTGTGTTCTTTTGAGCATGACTCAGATCAGAATGTATAAACTTTGGACAGAGAAGAGATTGGAATGAATAAGTAGAATCTCTAGGGTTGCTCCAGTTTCCATAATATATGAAAAGTTGACAAGATATTGTTTCTGAAATAAAAATGTTTTGGTGGGGGAGCTTTCATTCATGTTCATATTTGGACTTGGCTGCCACAAGGTGGAAGGTGTGACCAAAGGTTGTATATAAGCTACCTCATAGACGAAGCCCATGGGTGGTTGGACAAAATTTCATTCAAAATACCATTGCAATTTTAGATATTTTAATTTTAGATATCTAAATGCAATACATTCTACAGTAACTGTTAGTAGTGTTGAAAGATATTATTTTTACCTTTGCTTAATTTTTGTTTAACATATGTGGTGGGTTGATATTGAACTTATGATTTAGTACATGGCTCTTCTGAGGAATAAGACTGGGAATTGACAAAGAAAAAGAAAAGGCATAAGAATTAAATTTGTAACAATTGAGAGCGGAAAATATAAGCTCCTGGTGTGAAAGTCAGCTCTGAAAGAATCCAATGAAAGTGGGCTGACTTTGATTTATAGAAAACACTGTAAGCTAATAAAGCAGAAAAGGAAGATTCATTAGACCACAGGAGGGTTATCTATTCTAACTCACAGTTCTATGTAGAGATCTTTTCTAAAGGTTTTCACCCACCGACTTCTGGTCACTATATAGTGTTGAGGAACTTCTTACTCCAGATGTGGCCATATTAAGTGTGTAGTAACAATTAATTGTTTCTATTTTTAATATGAAGGTAATTTTGTTTTTTTTCAGATATGGAATGAGATGTTTTCTGATTAGAGGCAAGTCAAAGGGTAATTTTATTGTGCATGGATTTTCTGTTTAGATATCATAAATTTGATACTCTGTTGAGGTAGTTCTGTGATATTTCAGCCTCTGCTGGTAGGAATTTTCTTCACATGCCTGATTAGCTCTGAATCCTTCTTATTTTGGAGATTTGACCCCTGCATGTGTGGGCTGTGCTAGTGGAGTGGTGATAGTGGTGAGTGGAACCTCTCCTGAGGTGATTAGCAGTGGTGAGGGCTAATGAAGACTCATGTACCTCATAATGAGGCAAGTCCAAAATTCTTTAGGGGCAGGTAACAAGTTTGAATACTTTCTGTGTAAACAGTTCATAGAACTTTGAAAGTGTTGCATGATTATTTTGTGATTTTATCTTTCTGTTAAATATTGTGGTGTGAGTTACTTGAGAATAAAGACTGATAATCACAGTTATTTACTTTTACATAATTTCCTGAGAGAGGTAAAAATATTAAATATCTTGTGAAAGTCTGAAGGTCTGTAAGGCAGAATCTGAGCAGAGGCCTCCTAGAAGAGTGGTCCATCACGTTTGTGGACATCTCAAGTTGCTGGAAAGTTTATCCTTATGGTGAAGGATTATATGTGTAATAGTCACCCATGGTATACTAGAATGTAATGTTGTGAAGATAGGAACTAAGTCTTGGCCATCTTTGCCTTTAAGTATTTGAAGGCTATTATTCTGTCACTTTTCTTGACATCTTCTTCTTTCCAGGTTACTCACTCCCATTTAATTCTAAATGTAAAAGGAAAAAGAACCCTTACATTCTTCCTCAATCAAATTACGTGTCAAATGTGCATTTGCTTTTGTTAAGTTATTGAGGTTTCTTTGAGCAAACAATCTCTTATCCCAATATTATGAGCTGTTTGTCTCCTGGGAATAAGAAATTTTTAATAATGCCTAGTGATTCTTTTGAATTTTTCTGAAATAATTTCTGATTGAATTTTATGTGAATAGGTCTTCAGGTGCATCACTGATGCTTTCAGCTGCTTTGACAATCCTCCGGCTACTTTTGTGGGGTAAATCTCTCTAAATTAATACTGCATAAACTCATGTGTATGTCTTTCCACAATTTAATTTATTTTTCATTTAACTACCTTTTAATTGTCAAAAATTATATGTATTTATGGTGTACAACATGATATTTTGATATATGTGAAATAATTAAAATCAAGCTAATTAAGATATCCTTCACCTCATGTACACATTTTTTTAGTGAGAATGTTTAAAATCTACTCTCTGAGAAAGTTCAAGTGTATAATACATTGTTATTAACTATAGTCACAATGCTGTACAATAGATCTCCAGAACTCATTCTTTCTGTCTAATTGAAACTTCTTACTTTTTGACAAACATGTCCTCAGCCTCAGCCCTGGCAAACACCATTGTCTTTGCTCCTTTGAGTTTGACTTTTTTAGATTCTACATAAAAATGAGATTCATACAACATTTGTCTTTCTCTGCCTGACTTATTTCACTTAGCATAATTCCTTCTAGATTCGTGCATGTTGCTGCAAATGACAGAATTTCTTTCTTTTTAAGGCTTAATAATATTCCACTGTGTGTGTGTGTGTGTGTGTGTTTGTGTTTGTGTATGTGTGTGTATTCTCTTATTCCATAGGTTCTCTCTACATTATGTTGATTGTTTCATTGGCTGTGCAGAATCATATGTATATATCTCACATCTGCTTTATCTATTCATCTGTTGATGGACACTTAGATTGATTCTGTATCTTGACTATTGTGAATACTGCTGCAATAAACATGGGAGTTCAGACATCTCTTCCACATACTGATTTCATATCTTTTCGATGTATACCCAAAAGGATAATTGCTGTAGCATATGGTAGTTCTATTTTTAATTTTTTGAGGAACCACTGCACTTTTCTTCATAACACCTGTACAAAGTAACATTCCTGCCAATAGCATACAAGTTTCCCCCTTTCTCCACATCCTCAGAACACTTGTTATTCTTTTGTCTTTTTGGTAATATCCATTCTAACAGATTTGAAATAATATCTCATTGTGGTTTTAATTTGCATTTCCCTGTTGATTCATGATATTAAACATTTAAACATACACCTCTTGGCCATTTGTATGTTTTCCTTGGAGAAATGTCTAAATTCAGGCCCTCTGCTGTGGTTAAGGTTATTTGTTTTATTGTTATTGAGTGTTTGAGTTCCTTATGTATTTTGGCTATGAAGCCCTTATCAGATGATGGCTTGCAAATATTTTCCCTTATTCCACAGGTTGTCTCTTCACTCTGTTGATTGTTTCCTTGGATATGCATAGCATTTTAGCTTGAAGGAATCTCATTTGTCTATTTTTGCTCTTGTGGCCTGTACTTGTGGGGTCATATCCAAAAAATCTTGCTAAGACTAATGTCAAGAACATTTTTTTCCTATGTTTTCTACTAGTACTTTTACAGTTTCAGGTCTTATGTTAGTCCAAAATTAATTAACTAGAGATGCATAAATTTATTTCTGGGATCTTAATTCTGTTCCAGTGGTCTGCATGTCTGTCTTTATACTTGTACCATGATATTTTGTTTATTATAACTTTGTAGTATATTTTGAAGTCAGGCAGTGTGATGCCTTATTCTTATTGCACAATATTGCTTTACTATTTGTAGTCTTTTGTGGTTCCATACAAATTTTAGGATTTTTTTCTCTATTTCTGTGAAAAATTTCATTGGTACTTTGATAGAGATTGCACTGAATCTATAGATGGCTTTAGGTACTGGACATTTTAATAATATTAACTCTTCTAATTCAAGAACGTGGACATCATTCTATTTAAGTTCATCCTCTTCAATTTTTCATCAATTTTTATAGTTTTCAGTGTACATATCTTCAACTTCCTTTGTTAAACTTATTTTCTAAGTGACTTTTTGGTAGTGGTTGTGAATGGGATTGTTTTCTTGATTTCTTTTTCTGATAGCTTGCTGTTAGTGTATGGAAGTGCTACAGATTTTATGTTTATTTTGATTAGTGATATTAAGCATTTAAAAATATACCTGTTGGTCATTTAATAAAGTTTGTTTATTATTTGTTTACCAAATTTGTTTATTATTTATTACCTTTTCTTGGAGTATTTAGGGTTTTCTGTAAATAAGATCATGTTATCTGAAAAGAGGCAATTTAACTGTTTCCCTTTTTATTTGGATGCCTTTTATTGAGTTTTCTTGCCTAATTGCTCTGGCAAGAAATTCAAGTACTATGTTGAATAGAAGTGGCAAGAGTGGACACTCTTGTCCTCTTCCTGATCTTAGAGGGAAAGGTTTCAACTTTTCACTATTGAGTATAATGTTAGCTGTGGGATTGTGATATATGGCCCTTATTGTATTGAGATAAATTCCTCCTATAACTTATTTGTTGAGAGTTTTTGTCATGAAAGAATATTGAATTGTATCAAATGCTTTTTTGTGTGTGTTTATTGAGATCATATTATTTTTGTCATTCATTCTGTTAAAGTGGTATATCATGTTTATGTCTTTGTATATGGTGAATCATCCTTGCATCCCAGGGATAAATGTCACTGCTGCTGAGTATGGTTTGCCAGCATTTTGTTGAAGATTTTTGAATCTGTGTTCATAAGGGATAATGATATGTACTTTTATTTTCTTTTAGTGTCCTTATCTGGCTTTTGTATCAGGGTAATGCTGGCCTTATAAAATGAATTTGGCAGTATATCTTCCTCTTTGACTTTTTAAAGAGCTTGAGAAGGATTGGTGCTAGTTCCTTTAAACGTTTGGTGAAATTCAACTGTGGAGCCATTCATCTGGGATTTTATATAATGGGGAATTATTTTAAAATGTTTCATTCAATTTCCTTAATCCTTATTGGTCTATTCAGATTCTCTACTTCTTCATGATTCAGTCTTGGTAGTTTGTATGTTTCTAGGCATTTTTCCATTTCTTCTAGGTTATCTGATTTGTTTGCATATACTTATTCATTTTATTCTCTTATGATCCTTTGTACAGAATTATCTGTATATTTCTTTAAGGTCCATTTGGTCTCAAGTGTAGTTCAAAATTAATGTTTCCTTATTGATTTTCTTTCTGGTTGATCTAGCCATTGTTGAAAGTAGAGTATTGAAGTCCTCTACTCTTTGCAATACTATTGTATTGCAGTCCATTTCTGGCTTGTATCTATTAATATGTACCTTTTTATCTAGGTGTGTCAATGTTGGGTGCATACATATTTGCAATTCTTATGCAACATTTTAAAACTGATCCTTTTGTCATTATGTAATGCCCTTCTTTGTCTCTTTTTACAGTTTTGACATAAAGTCTATTTCATCTAAGTACCACCTCTATACTCTTTTGGTTTCCATTTGCATGGAATGAATATCCTTTTCTACCCCTTCACTTTCAGTTTTTATATGACCATAGAAGGCATGACCCACCCCCGCCACAGAGCATTCCTAGGGGATCTGGGTCTGGGCTAAGCTCCCACGGCATTGCTGCCTCTGCTGGTCATGGGGCCCCCAGGATCAGTATTACATACAGCATCATGGCAGTCATTGGACCTTCCATGACTTCTGAAGCCTCTGATGAGTCACCTCAAATTGCCAGAACTCCATGGCCACAGAAAACCACAGAGTACCATTGTGAGCCTCCTGCCTAAAACTTCTCAGGACTTGAAAACCAAGGACAACCTCACTCAAGATGGGACAAGGAAAACAGTGCCTCTCAACTTTCTCCATGTCTTGACCACAAAGTCAATAGTCATATTACATGATCCTCGGAGTAAGGACTAAGCTCTGTAGGCCAGAGTGGATAGCCAGGGCCTCTGGCTACCCTAACCCCTTCCTAATTGACTCAGTAAATAAGAAGGAAAATCTCTTTCCACACCTGTGATCATTCTTGGTCAATAGTTGAGAAGTTCTACAGTGGAGGAATGCAAGTCTACAACATTGGCCACTGATCCTCTTTCTCTTTAATAAAACTTTGCATTATTTGACCTTGGAGACCTAATCTATCTAGAGATGATCAGAGAAGACTCCAGCTGTCAGTTCCCTTCTTGGTCTTGTGTCTGGCTGGTTTCAGCTATGCATGGGAAGGGTGGTGTAAGAGGTGTGAGGATGGAGAAGGTTTATACTCCCTTCTCTGTTTTCATTTTTAACAACTAAGGAAGAAATAATAGGAATTTTCAAAGTCTTCACATTTCAGGAATGTGTAGTCTAACTGTGGGATATTTTGTTCCACTCACATTTTTCCCCTTCTGACTGTTCACATTTATGATTCTGACTTCGTGAATCAGAAAGGCTGGCTGCTAACATCTAACTCTTTAGCACCTATCTTTTGAGACAGGTAGTACCTCCCACTTTCAAAAATTGGGGCCTGCTATTCTCCTTATTCTATTTTCAGCTACTCTCTATGTAATAAGCAGATGAGGCACTTTTTGTTGAAAGATTACCCAAGGAAAATGTCAATAGAAAGCATGGTAGGTTTTGGTAGAGTCAGTATTAGGATGTGTACTAAACTCTTCAGTGACATTTGTCTGTACAGTGGAAGCACAATATGGATAGTCTGATTTAGAGATGATCCAAACTCATTTCATCAGATCAGCAGTAGATGTTTGATGCTGGATATCATCGTTGGGGGGAAGGATTTGTGTGTTTCAATGTTACCTTCAGGTTTTGGTCTAAGAATAGGAAACCTTTATTCTCTTACTTGGGTGGAGAAGGACTCTAAAAACACCCCCCCCCCCATATTTCCAAATGACATGTAGTTATAATTTCCAATAATAAAGTAGTAACTGTTAAGAAAAATTACCCAAAACCTGAAAAGAATGAAAAATATTACTTATACTCCTCCAATTATTTAAGGTGAGCTCCTTGAGCCATCTCTAGTTACATGTAACTTTTTTCTTTTTTTTTCTTTCTTTTCTTTTTTTTTTTTTTGAGATGGAGTTTTGTTCTTGTCGCCCAGGTTGGAGTGCAGTGGCACGATCTCGGCTCATTGCAACCTCCGCCTCCTGAGTTCAAGCGATTCTCCTGCCTCAACTTCCCTGGTAGCTGGGATTATAGGTGTGCGCCACCATGCACAGCTAATTTTTGTGTTTTTAGTAGAGACAGATTTTCACCATGTTGGCCAGGATGGTCTTGATCTCCTGACCTCATGATCCGCCCACCTTGGCCTCCCAAAGTGTTGGGATTACAGGCATGAGCCACCGCACCTGGCCCTAGCTACATGTAATTTTTTTTTTTTTTACTTACTATTTCATCACTTTATGGACCATACTAAGATCTGTAAAGTTAGATTTAATTTACAGAAGATTGATAAGTAGCAAATAATTTTTGCCCCATAGAGTTATAAGTGATATTTGCCTGATTGAGAAAACAAACCAAAAAGTTCTTGTTTTATCTGAAAAGTGTCAATCATCTTGTAAATCTGACATTAATATTGCCGTGCTTCTTCTTGTAAGGAGTATAATGCTAATCTCTGGTATTCACCTTTCAAGCAGCTTGATTGTGCTGTTTATTCCCTCATTAAGAAATTAAGCAAAAAATATTTCACAACTGCTCATTACATATTTTTTAGAGTCATATTTTTAATTTTTTTTGGAAATTATACTTTGACCTAACACACTGAGAAATAAAAGGTCTCAAGAAAATAGGTTGCTTATGATGGATGGTACTTTTTTGTTGGGAAGTGTTAGAAACTTGAATTCATTTAACTGCTCCCCAAGTAGGGGAGAAATCATTAAATCATGGGATAATTGAGCAGATGTAATATGCTGCAAATGTGGGAACTGAGAGTTGAAGAAGATGTTCCTACAGGATGAATAAAGGGCAAAAACAAAAAAGAAAATGAAAAACAAGAAATGAAATATATACTTTGTAACAATAAAGAATGCAATCCATAGTGAATATCGAGTAGTTAGGAATGTGCCAAATAGCAACAATATACATGTAACAATAAATTAAGATTAAAACATCATAGAAATAAATATAAAAATTGAAGATGAAACATAATAGAAATAGAAAACTGGAAAAAACTATAGGCTTATTATATAATTCCAAGGGCACAGTGGAATTACTGGATACATTTGCTTTAAAATCAGGAATAAGACATTACTGTCAATATATGACATGGTCTAAGTTAATGTTTATATTCAGGCACTAATTAATACAATTAGACACTCTTACAACTCATCAATTAAAAATTAACCCAGCAGAAGATGGGCATACACACTCTCCAAAGAAGGCTGTACAAATGAGTGATAAGCAAATGAAAAGATGTTTAACATTGTTAGTCATTAGTGGCATATAAATCAAAACCACACTGAGACAGTGAGATGCCGCTTCACACTGAGTAGGTTGGCTATATTTAAAAAGATAAACAAGCTGGACATGATAGCTCAGCCTGTAATCCCAGTGCTTTGGGAGGCCAAGATGGGAGGATTGCTTAAGCCTAGGAGGTCAAGACCAGCCTGAGCAACATAGCGAGACACCATCTCTACAAAAAAAATAAGGATTAGGTAGGCATGTTGGCACACCTGTGGTCCCAGCTGCTCAGGAAGCTCAT